>NC_000003.12:197631561-197782560 GCF_000001405.40 Homo sapiens | reverse complement strand
GTCTCTAAACACCAACATTTTAAACTAAGACTAATACCTAGGGCCACATTTCCTGTTAAAAGCTCAGCACTAAAGCTGTGTAATTCCAGGGGACTTTACACCGTCTGAAAGAGGAAGCACGTTCTGGATGTCCCCCTAAGTCTTCAAACCCACAGCTGGAAATTCTAATACATTGTTCTGTGTCTCTAATGAAGAAAAGGCAACGGCACTGACTACATCAACACTATTAAAGGGCAAGTGACAGCAACCAAGGGACCTACTCATGTTTATGAAGACCAGGATTTACCATGACAAAGTCTAAAACACGGGCAAAGGTGATGAGATCCTGAATACTGCTATCATAAAAATAATCAATTTCTATCTTTCTGTCTTCCTTCTGCTGCATGAGGAACCAAAGAAGTCAAACAGATGATTGTTCTGTCTGAGCCAACCATGAAATCTTTAAGAACAGACAGGTATAATCCCTATTATTCTTTCAGGGCATTATTTTATACGTTTTTTTTTTTAAAAAAAAAAACCTTCAAAAATAAAAATAAGAGTTATTTAGCCTTGTGAATATTTTGAAGTAAAGTTTCTTGAATTTCCGTGATGAACTCTTCAAGCAATTCAACTTCTCAGAGTCATCACTCAAAAGTTCCTTTGACATGGGACCTATCCCACGGTGACAAAGCGGCTTCCCCCTTTGTTGTATGTGAGAGTGGCTCTTTGTTCCTTCAGGATCCCAAACCGCTCATTCAACGTCATCCCTGTCTAGAGAAAAGAAAAAAACAAAAACAACAACAAAGCAACAATTAACAACTTTACTGAAGGCCATATTTGCTTTGGAACAATAATGTGATCTTATGATTAATTACAAGTAATGACAGCTAAAATTTCCTAAATATTTACATGTATGACCTCATATAAAGCCTACATTATATACTATATAAAACACACATATGCTATAATGCCTAGAAGTCATACACCCAAAGCCCCTATCTGAATTATTTTCAGGCTCTGTAAACACTGCCACCAACTCATGATGTCACTGATAAAAGTAAGAACTCTTCAGACCTGTAAATATTTTATAGCAAATTTTCTTGAATTACGGTGAGTTCAACACAGAAATTCAAATCAAATTCAAATGAAAATCTGTTTTTTTTTTTATTAACAACAGCATCTACAAACTATACCATTTCTGGAAAACAATAATAGCAACAAAATAAAAATAAGCAAAACAAATTTGGTCAAAATTTTTTTTTTTTTTTTATTGAGACAGTCTGGCTGTCATCCAGGCTGGAGTGCAGTGGCACAATCTCAGCTCATTGCAACTTCCGCCTCCTGGGTTCAAGCAATTCTCCCACCTCAGCCTCCCGAGTAGCTGGGATTACAGGCACGTGCTACCACACCCGGCTAATTTTTTTATTTTTAGTGGAGACAGGGTTTTTCCATGTTGACCAGGCTGGTCTCAAACTCCTGACCCCAAGTGATCCACCTGTGTCGGCCTCCCAAAGTGCTGGGATTACAGGCGTGAGCCACCGCACCAGGCCAATTTGGTCAAATTTCTATCCATCCTTTGTATCTTCAATTTCACATTATTTCAAGGATACCAAAAAAGCATTTGACAAAATTGAATACCCATTCTTGATAAAAATTCTCAGCATATCAGGAATAGAAGGGAGCTTCCTCAATCTGACAAAGAGAATCTATAAAAATAAAAAATAAAAAAAAAGAAACTGGGCCAGGCATGGTGGCTCACGCCTGTAATCCCAGCACTTTGGGAGGCCAAGGCAGGCGGATCAAAAGTTCAGGAGTTTGAGACCAGCCTGGCCAATATGGTGAAACCCTGTCTCTACTAAAAATACAGTAAAATTAGCCGGGTGTGGTGGCACATGCCTGTAATCCCAGCTACTCAGGAGGCTAAGGCAGGAGAATTGCTTGAACCCAGGAGGCAGAGGTTGCAGTCAGCCAAGATCATGCCACTGCACTCCAGCCTGGGCTACAGAGCAAGACTCCATCTCAAAAAAAAAAAAAATCTATGCCTAATATCATACTAAATGGTGACATATTTAGTGCTTTCTCTTCAGGCTTTGGAACAAGGCATGCATACAAGTATACATCTTACCACTTCTACTCAACATTGGACTGGAGGTCCTAGCCTTTGTAACAAAGCAAGAAAAAGAAAAGGTTTAAAGATTGGAAAGGAATTAGGAGAATGAAATGATTGTTTACACAGAAAATCCTAAGCTGGCCAGCCACAGAAGGCAGGCGGTGGCTTGAGCTTAGGAGTTCAAGACCAGCCTGGGCAATGTAGCGAAACCCTATCTGAAACCCTGTCTCTACAAAAAATATAAGAATTAGCCAAGTATGGTGTGTGTGCCTGTATCCCCAGGTGTGGTGTGTGTGCCTGTATCCCCAGGTGTGGGTGTGTGCCTGTATCCCCAGGTGTGCTGATGTGTGTGCCTATATCCCCAGGTGTGGTGGTGTGTGTGCCTGTATCCCCAGGTGTGGTGTGTGTGCCTGCATCCCCAGGTGTGGTGGTGTGTGCCTGCATCCCCAGGTGTGGCAGTGTGTGCCTGTATCTCCAGGTGTAGTGTGTGTGCCTGCATCCCCAGGTATGGTGTGTGCCTGTATCCCCAGGTGTGGTGTGTGTGCCTGCATCCCCAGGTGTGGTGGTGTGTGCCTGTATCCCCAGGTGTGGCAGTGTGTGCCTGTATCTCCAGGTGTAGTGTGTGTGCCTGCATCCCCAGGTATGGTGTGTGCCTGCATACCCAGGTGTGGTGGTGTTTGCCTGTATCCCCAGGTGTGGTGGTGTGTGCCTGTATCCCCAGGTGTGGTGTGTGTGCCTGTATCCTCAGGTGTGGTGGTGTGTGTGCCTGAATCCCTGGGTGTGGTGGTGTGTGCCTGTATCCCCAGCTACCCAGGAGGCTGAGGTGGGAGGAAGGATCGTTTGAGTCTGGGAGGTCAAAGCTACAGTGAGCTATGATTATGCCACTGCATTCCAGTCCTGGTGACAGAGTGAGACTGTTTCACAAAAAAAAAAAAAAAAAAAGTCCTAAGGAATCCACAAAGTCAATACAAAAGTAAGTGAATTTAGCAAAATTATAGGATACAAGCTTAATATGGTTAATACAAAATTGTCAATGTGGTTTTGACCTTTTTTTTTTTGAGATGTAGTATTGCTCTGTTGCCCAGGCTGGAGTGAGTGGCACGATCTCAGCTCCCTGCCAACTCTGCCTCCTGGGTTCAAGCAATTCTCCTGCCTCAGCCTCCTTAGTAGCTGGGATTACAGGCATGAGCCACCACACCAGGCTAATTTTTGTATTTTTAGTAGAGACAGGATTTCACCACGTTGGCCAGGCTGGTCTCGAACTCCTGACTTCAGGTGATCTCCCCACCTCGGCCTCCCAAAGTGCTGGGATTACAGGCGTGAGCCACCGCACCTGGTTGGTTTTGACAATTTTGTTATTAACCTTGTATCCTGTAATCTTGCTAGATGGCTATAGTCGAACAGCAGATAATAGTGAGTGTTGGTGAGGATGTAGAGAAATTCAGAACCCTCATAGATGCTGGTGGGAATATTAAGCTGTAGCACAGACTCTTCTAGGAAAAAAGCAGTCCAGCAGTTCCTCAAAAGGTTAGATACAGAGTTACTATAAACCTAGCAATTCTACTCCTAGGTATTTACCAGGGAGAAATGAAAACAGATGCTCACACAAAAACTTCTGCACAAATGCTCAGAGCAGTATTATTCCTAATATCCGAGGACTGAAAACACCCCAAATACCCATCCAGTAATGAAGGAATAAATAAGATGTGGTATATACATATGATGAACACTGTTCAGCAGGAAAACAAAATTAAACACGCATACAATATAGATGAACCTTTAAAACATTATGCTAAGTGAAAGAATTCAGTCACAAATGTATACCGTATGAGCTGATTTATATGAAATGTCAAAATAGGCAAATGGCAGACAAAAGCAGATTAGTGGTTCCCTAGGTTTCAGGGGGCAGTTAGGATACCTTGTTTATAATTCACTATTATAATAAATACTTTGTTAATTAAAATACTCAGCAAATGACCCAAGAAAATACAGAAAACGTTTTTTTACCTGTTTTCCGACACTGTTTATGTCAAACTGCAGGGGAACACCTTTAGGAACTTTCTTGACGTCACTTTGCTCCCGCTTTGTTAAAAATGAAGGTACAGCAGTACGAGTTAATCGTGGTTTCTGAGTTCTATTAGAAAAATATTAAAATATCAGAGCAGCTTAACAATGAAAAGAAAAATAAATTCACTTGGTACTTAAGACATCTTGTACACATGTTCAAATGTATTAGGGCCATTTTATTTGTGTTCTCAAAAAAAAAGTTTCACTGGCTACTCTAGACTAAAATATATAATTGTTCAGAGAATATCTCTTTAAATAGAACTACAAACTTTTCAACAAGTTGGAATGTTTGGTGATTCCTAACTCTTGATCTTCCATTAAAATAAAGCAACCTCTAAAGTCCTAGGTACCCATCCTACATGCTTTTCATTTCAATCATTAAGATGGCTGGAGGGCTAGGCACTGTGGCTCGGGCCTATAATCCCGGTACTTTGGGAGGCCAAGGCACAAGGATCGCTTGAGGCCAGGGGTTAGAGACCAGCCTAAGGAACACAGCAAGACCCCCATCTGTACAAAAAAAAAATTAGCTGGGTGTGGTGGTGCATGCCTATGTTCCCAGCTACTCAGGAGGCTGAGGCAGGAGAATTATTGGAGCCCAGGAGTTCGAGGCAGCAGTGAGCTATGGTGGCACCACTGCACTCTAGCCTGGGCATCAGAGTGAGACGTTATCTCTTAAAAAAATCAAGAGATGGTTGAATAGAACATAAGCTCCATAAATTGACAAAGTTTATAAAGCAATAAATTTAAAGAGAACGTAGGTCTGTATGGTCTGAAAAATAAAGACATCGAAAACATTACAGGGATTAGGAGAAGTAGCATGTATACCATCATCTCGTTTATTATTGTACACAAAAATATATATATTGGGTCAGGTGCAGTGGCTCACACCTGTAACCTTAGCATTTTGGGAGGCCAAGGCAAGAGGACTGCTTAAGTCTAGGAGTTCAAGACCAGTCTGGGCACAAACAAACAAAAAAGCCAGACATGGTGGTGGGCAACTGTCGCTGCAGCTCCTCAGGACTCGGGAGGCTGAGGCAGGAGGATCGCTTGAGCTTGGGAGGTCAAGACTGCAATAAGCCATGATCATGGCACTGCACTCCAGCCTGGGTAACAGAGCCAGACCTTGCCTCCAAAAAAAGGGTACACAGAGTATACATGCACATAATTTTTAAAACATAAAAAACACTGTTCCAACGTGGTCATTTAGGGCTGCAGAATCAGGAATCAAGAAAGCTCTTACTTTACTTTACACCATATACTGTTTCCATATTGTATCACAGGTATTACTGTCTTCCTGGTTCATCCCAACTTGGACATCATTCTCTGAGCAGAAGTCCAATACTTTCTTATGATCTCATGTAATGAGAGGTTATAATTTTTGCAAAAAGAAAGAAACAACTTACACTGGGCATTGCACTGCTCCAGGATTGTCAATAGATACAGTCAAAATCCCTCCATTTGTGGTGGAAGTCCGCCATCTAGTTTCAAAAAAAATAAAAAAAATTCATTAAATGTAAGTTGATAAACCCTATGTATATTCAAAATAAAAATGAACATTAAAAGTAGCCATTACTTTTTCTTAGCTTGTAAGAAATAAGTACCTGAACCCCACCATGATATAATAAATCAACATCTTGGGTGCGGAACTGGGCATCTGAATTAATTTATTAAATATTTTTCAGTGTAATAAATGTATACAAATTTAAAAAAATCAAATAGTACAAAAGAACTTCTAATAAAAAGCAACAGTCCCTCACCCCACTATTCTCCTGCTTTCTATTCCTACTCTCCAGAGGCAGCACTTTTAACCTGTTTTTACTGCTTTCTGGTTACTTCCAATTCACTAAACAAGATGCTTACATAGTAAAAAAAAAACCTTGCTGCAGCCGGGCACTGGCTCACACCTGTAATCCCAGCACTTTGGGAGGCAGAGGCAGGTGGATCATGAGGTCAGGAGTTCAAGACCAGCCTGGCTAAGATAGTGAAACCCCATCTCTACCAAAAAAAAAAAAAAAAAAAACAAATTTAAGCTGGGCGTGGGGTGTGGTGGTGGGTATTTGTAATCCCAGCTACTCAGGAGGCTGAGGCAGAGAACTGCTTGAACCCGGGAGGGGGAGGTTGCAGTGAACTGAGATTGTGCCACTGCGCTCCAGCCTGGGCAACAGAGCGAGACTCCATCTCAAAAAAAAAAAAAAAAAATTGCTATGATGAATAAAGATTTAGTTCGTCAAACTATCCTCCAGTTTCCTTACCCACCATGAAACATTTTGATGGCTGTATCACTATTTCCAGGCCTTTGTAACTGAAAATACTTAAATCTCTGTTTCTTTCAGCAGAATCTCTTGAACCCACCCCCAGCTTTATGTGAAAGGATAATAGTGCCTCTATTCCTTCCCTCCACCTCTGCTCCTTTGTTTGTACCTCTCACTTTCTGTCAGCTCTTCCTTTATATTCACATTAGTCAAAATCGGACATTTACATTATATTGTTCTCAAATTAACTATTTTGTGCTTTGTCTAACAGGTTGATTCTCAAAGTTCAAAACAAATAACATTTATATGATCACAATTATGTAAATATTGTTCACTGCAGAAGCAAAAAGGCTACAATTATTATTTCTTTCCCCATGGTTTCTAATGTCATGACCCCTGTGCTAAAGAATACCACCTGTATCAGTTTCACAGTTTCCTAACACTCCAATTGCTAAAAATCATGCACCACAGTTGGCACCATATCTGGGCCCTGACCATGTTTTACAGCCAGCTCTCTGTATCCACAGGTTCTACGTCCATGTATTCAATCAGTTGCAACCGCAGAATGAAAACAATCCACGGATATGGAGGGCCGATTGTAAGGGACTTGAGTATCTGAGGATTTTAATCTCTTCAGTGGGCCTGGAACCAATTCCCCTGAGACACAGAGACAATCCGCGGATATGGAGGGCCGACTGAAAGGGACTTGAGTATCTGAGGATTTTAATCTCTTCAATGGGCCTGGCAACAATTCCCTTGAGACACAGAGGGCCAAGTGTATATATTTTATTTTCCAAAAAGTAGTCATAATTTTAAATAGTTTAATCTCAAAACCTAATCACACTGATGGAATTAGTATGTTACAACTCACACTTAGGAGGTGTGATTATAACAGGATAAAATAGGTTTTCAAAAGATTTTTTATAGGGCTAAGAAAAAAAGACTGTGAAAAGGAAAACTATTGTTTTTAAAGTTGTACAAATGTTCTAAAAGCTCCACTGAATTTTATTCTATTCATTCCCTAAATAGGTTCATTTGTATGAAAGCAGTTATAGCAAAAAAAAGAAAAAGAAAAAGCTGTTTCATTAAAATGGTATAGCCAATAAAAAATAAAAATAATAAAAATGAAGTAATCTACGTGGCACTAAAACTGTTACAATATCGACACATGAAAACTCAAAAGGTTTTTGGGGAAAATTAACAAAGGACAAAACAAGATTTATTTATTTTAGCCTCAATGTTTAAAAATTTTTTTGGAGACAGTCTCCATAGCCCGAGCTATGCTGCTCAGGCTGGTGTGCACTGGCCATCGAGCTATGCTGCTCAGGATGGTATGCACTGGCGATCGAGCTATGCTGCTCAGGATGGTGTGCACTGGCCATCGAGCTATGCTGCTCAGGCTGGTGTGCACTGGCGATCGAGCTATGCTGCTCAGGCTGGTGTGCACTGGCGATCGAGCTATGCTGCTCAGGATGGTATGCACTGGCGATCGAGCTATGCTGCTCAGGATGGTGTGCACTGGTCATCGAGCTATGCTGCTCAGGCTGGTGTGCACTGGTCATCGAGCTATGCTGCTCAGGATGGTGTGCACTGGTCATCGAGCTATGCTGCTCAGGCTGGTGTGCAGTGGCAATCAAGTTATGCTGCTCAGGCTGGTGTGCAGTGGCATCGAGCTATGCTGCTCAGGCTGGTGTGCAGTGGCGATACACAGGTGACATTATGGCACTTCACAGCCTTGAACTCTTGGGCTCCATCAATTCTCTTGCTTCAGTCTCCCAACTAGCTGGGATTACAGGTGTGTAGCACCACTATGCCCAGCTTTCAGACTGAATTTTATTTTGGGTTTCAATTAATTTCTTCTGGACTGAGGTACATGATAATTTGGGTAGTTAGTATTCTGGGAGTTTTGAAATAACATCTTAAAAAACAAATGGAAACTTACTGACGAGTTCTCTTTGCTACTACATCGTCTAGCAGTTGTTCTGTATTCAACTGGGCCTGCACCTGAAGGGAAAAAAAAAGCAGTAGGTACCACAGAAAGCAGAGGATTTGAATCCAAAGAGCGATCCTGCTCTGGAACTTCCTAACCCAGTGGTGCGTGTACATGAGTGCAGCGGAGGTGCCTGCGCTATTCTACAACTTCCTAACCCAGTGGGGCGTGTGCGTGAGTGCAGCGGAGGGGCCCGCGCTATTCTAGAAATTCCTAACCCAGTGGGGCGTGTGCGTGAGTGCTGCGGAGGGGCCCGCGCTATTCTAGAACTTCCTAACCCAGTGGGGCGTGTGCGTGAGTGCAGCGGAGGGGCCCGTGCTATTCTAGAACTTCCTAACCCAGTGGGGTGTGTGCGTGAGTGCAGCAGAGGGGCCCACGCTATTCTGGCAACAGTTCCCTGTTGGAATTCCTACATGAGAACGAGTGGCAAATACAGGTTTATTCCCAAATAACGAGTTAAATTCTTATAAGACATTGCTATTGAGGGTAAGAAAAGATGGGAAATAAAAAACATACAACAGGAAGAACTAATCTACTACCACGTGCCTCACATCCTGAACCCAATGCTGCCTATGACTGAGGCTTACTAAAGGTGGCTGCTCAGGATCCTCTTTGGGAAAAAACAAACAAACAAACAAAAACACTGCCAAAGTTTTTAAATACCTTCAGGCCTCTTCTGAAAAGAAAAGTTGCCTGACGAGTATCTTTCTGATGATTTAATTTATTTCCACTCCTGGTAAAATTAGCTGGAATGTTATTTCTGCAACAAAAACACATAGGCCATGCTAAGCCATTTAACTACTTTCAAACATCTTGAGGAAAAATAAGCAAAAATAGTTAAATTCATAGGCTGCAAACATGAGGTGCAAGAAACAAACAACTCTGAATTATTTGCTTATTAACATGAAGCTACTGAGATTTGATTAACAAATACCTCCCTCCGAAGCATAGCACATAACCACGTGTTAATTTCAAACCACTTTATCTTCCAAATATTCAATCCTCTAATATCCCATATATCTTCTGAAGACATTAATAATCACATTTTTAGTGCTATTTCCTATATTTGGTGAAAACATAACTTTACAATTTATAGGATTAGTACAAAGAAAAACCACACATAGGCCAAACTGAAGACGTAAAATAAACTGAAGACCAAAAATAAAGAGAAAGGTTTGAAAAATAACATCTCCTCCTCCAGCTTTCTCTTCCTTCCTCACTCAGAAACCATTATGTATTAACATAAACCATAGAGGCCAGGCATTATGGCTCACACCTGTAATCCCAGCACTTTGGGAGGTTGAGGTGAGTGGATCACTTGAGGTCAGGAGTTTGAGACCAGCCTGGGTAACATGGTAAAACCCCGTCTCTACTAAAAACACAAAAATTAGCCAGCCTTGGTGGCACACGCCTGTAGTCCCAGCTACTCAGGAGGCTGAAGCATGAGAATTGCTTCAATCAGGGAAGCAGAGGTTGCTGTGGGCCGAGATCACGCCACTGCACTCCAGCCCAGCGACACAGACTTCATCTCAAAAAATATACAAACCACAGAAAAACTTATACTCTTCTATTTCTTGTTCTTTCATGCACAGAACAATGCTCTTAATTATGACTGTCACCAATTCTTTTTTTTAATTTTAAGTTCTGAGACACGTGCTGAACGTGCAAGTTTCTTATGTAGCTATACATGTGCCATGGTGGTTTGCGGCACCTAATTTCTTTTGTTTTCTATAGGAAGTTAGTGAAGTACGAAAAATTAAAATTTCATATTTATCTATGAAATATTCAATCCTCTAACATTCCATGTCTTCAACTGATGTATTGATAAATATGAAACACTATATAAACGAGTGTTTAACAGATTCCCTAGTCTTACCTCCAATCTTTCAGAGATTCAAGTTCAAAACTGCCCTAGCTAACCCAATTAACATGTAAGTCTCACGTAAATGATGGGTTCTTATTTGAGAAGGTCCCCTTTCACAAAAGGTACTATCAAGTGATTCCCAAAAGATGATGGTTAAAACTGCAATTCCAGCCATTCCATTTTTTGTTTTTTTATTTTTATTTTTTTGAGACAGAGTCTCACTGTCACCCAGGCTGGAGTGCAGTGGCACCATCTTGACTCACTGCAACTTCCGCCCCCCAGGTTTAAGCGATTCTCCTGCCTCAGCCTCCCAAATAGCTGGAACTACAGGCATGAACCACCACGTCCAGCTAATTTTTGTATTTTTAGTAGAGATGGGGTTTCACCATGTTGGCCAGGCTGGTCTCGAACTCCTGGCCTCAGGTGATCCACACGCAGCGGCCTCCCAAAGTGCTGGGATTGCTGGCATGCACCGGTCACCACATCGGGCTAATTTTTGCATTTTTTTTTTTTTTTTTTTTTGAGACGGAGTCTCGCTCTGTCGCCCAGGCTGGAGTGCAGTGGCGGGATCTCGGCTCACTGCAAGCTCCGCCTCCCGGGTTCACGCCATTCTCCTGCCTCAGCCTCCCAAGTAGCTGGGACTACAGGCGCCCGCCACCACGCCCGGCTAATTTTTTGTATTTTTAGTAGAGACGGGGTTTCACCGTTTTTAGCCGGGATGGTCTCGATCTCCTGACCTCGTGATCCGCCCGCCTCGGCCTCCCAAAGTGCTGGGATTACAGGCGTGAGCCACCGCACCCGGCCTAATTTTTGCATTTTCAGTAGAGATGGGGTTTTGCCACATAACTCCTGACCTCAGGTGATCTGCCTGCTTTAGCCCCCCAAAGTGCTGGGAATACAGGCATGAGCCACTGTGCCCAGCCACTGCATTTTTTAAAAACCTCATTCCAGGTTTTTTTTGCTGACTTATCTTCCACGAAAGATAAATAAATAATACTTGAAACTGAATAAGGAAACTTCACACCTCATCAACTTCATCTACTTTGTCCTTACAGAGAACAGAATGCCATAACAACAGATCATAATTTTTCTTTTCTTTCTTTTTCAGAGATGGGGGTCTCACTATGTTGCCCAGCAGGTTAGCCCTGAATCCTGGGCTCATGTGATCCTCCTGCCTCAGCCTCGTAAGTAGCTGGGACCACAGGCACATGCCACTGCACCCAGCTCACAGGCCATAATTTTTGGTTTTTATTATTCAATTTAGTATAAAAATAATTTCAGTTTAACAAGTGTTCATGAAGAATTCTCCCTTTCTAGTTTGATTTTTCCACAAATAACATACATTGTGATTCAGTGTTCTAGTAAGAGCCATCCAGACTGAGTAACAAATTGAGATTTCAGAATTCTCAATTTTGAATAATTCCCACTAAGATGTTAAGAGTTCTACCAGGGCTGGGCACAGGGGCGCATGCCCGTAATCCCAGCACTTTAGGAGGCTGAGGTGGGAGGATCACTTGAGGCCAGGAATTGAGACCAGCCTGGACAACATGGTGAGACCCTGTCTCTATTAAAAAAAAAAAAAAATTAGCAGGGCATGGTGGCATGTATCTGCAGTCCCAGCTACTCAGGAGGCTGATGTGGGAGGATCGCTTGAGCCCAGGGCAGGCCAAGGCTCCAGGGAGCAGTGATGGCGCCACTGCACTCCAGCCTCAGCAACAGATCGAGAAGCCCTGTCTCAAAAAACAGGGAGAAAAAAAAGAGAGTTCTACTAAAGTGATCAGCTTTTGCAATTTTATTCCATATGTCAAAGAGGTAAAGAAGCAGAGTGATGCTTTTTAAAAAGCTTATATCGGTTAACTTCATCAGTAAGAATTCATCTAATAAACAAGCTATTACTGGATACATCCATGTGGATGTTCAGATAGACATCCCAAATATCTGTCTTGAAAATGACCAGATAACTAAAAAAATCACTGCAAATCCATTCTTCACACCACTTAATGCAGGAAGTGTTTTTAATGCAAAATAACACATTATTATTTTTGAGCACTTACTTTCTGCTTAGCTGGCTAGGTCTCTTGAGAACTGCTACTGGTTTCCTCTGCCCTTCATTTTGTCTCAGAAGGTTTGCCTTCCTTTTTAACACTGGAAAATATTGTTCTATATTCTATCAGAAGGCAAGAAATTATGTTAATCAAATTGCATTTTTCTATATACTCTACTACAATAAACATTTCAGATGCAGAATGAACAAGGATTGACAACTGCTTGAATGTGCAGATAAGGGAGACGGAGAAACAAACAACTTGAAACTGTACAGTCTACATGACTGAAAAGATGAAAACCCCACATTATATTTAAAATATGTGAGGTACTCGGGGGACCCACAGGTGATGGGGAATCGTGGCTCTGGAACTCAAGAGAATCAGAGAGCCAGAGATATTTAAAATATGTGAGGTGCTCAGGGGACCCACAGGTGATGGGGAATCGCGGCTCTGGAACTCAAGAGAAGAATCAGAGAGCCATAGATATAAATCAGGGAATAATTTCTATAAACATGATTTTTGATACTAATAGATTTAAAAAAGCCAAGTTCCAAAACAAATGCATGCCAAAAAAAAAGAAAAAGTGGGGAAGTTATGACAGCAAAGACGCTGGAGTAGACGTGGTTAGAGGCGAAAAGTATCATAAAAAACAAAAGCACATGAGACATCCTCTTTTTCTTCCTCCACATGCATAAATTAAATCCATCATTAAAGCCTAATCAGATATCCATATTGTCCATAAAGACTTCTCTAAAGTTCTTGACAAATATGCACCTTATCTTATACTTTATCTGGATTCTTCTATTAAGTATATGAGAAGTACTTTATAAATATCCATTGACTAAATCACATTAAAAATTCTGAATCTGGCCAGGCACCGTGGCTTACGCCTTTAATCCCCACACTTTGGGAGGGTGAGGCGGATGGATCATGAGGTCAGGAGTTCGAGACCAGCCTGGCCAGCATGGTGAAACCCCGTCTCTACTAAAAATACAAAAATTAGCCAGGCATGGTGGCACGCACCTGTAGTCCCAGCTACTAGGGAGGCTGAGGCAGAAGAATTGCTTGAAACCAGGAGGTGGAGGTTGCAGTGAGCCGAGATTGCACCACTGCACTCCAGCCTGGGCGACAGAGCAAGACTCTGTCTTGAAAAAACAAAAACAAACAAACAAAAAAACTCTTCATTTTCGGCCAGGCACGGTGGCTCACGCCTGTAATACCAGCACTTTGGGAGGCCAAGGTGGGCAGATCACTTGAGGTCAGGAGTTCGAGACCAGCCTGGCCAACATGAAAATTAGCTGGGAGTGGTGGCACACACCTGTAATCCCAGCTACTCGGGAGGCTGAGGCAGGAGAACTGCTTGAACCTGGGAGGTGGACATTGCAGTGAGCCAAGATCACATCACTGCACTCCAGCCTGGGTAACAGAGCAAGACTCTATATATAAAAAACAAAAACAAACAAACAACTTACTTATATTTGAGAATGTGGAAATTTAGGTATTCTTTATGAATGGCAATGATTTTTATTTAGATATTAAATTTTTTTATATCAGTCCCAAAGTACTACATAAAAACAAATAAAATTCTCTCTTAAGCTTATTCACAGAAATGTTAGTACAAATAAAGGAAAAGGATATCTAATCCAGGATTAAGCCATCATCCTACCTTGTCACTTAGAGGTGGACGATTCATAGGACTAATTCCTTTTCGAATTCCAGTCGTTTTCCTAGCTGCAAGGCCAGTGATAACTCCATTAGGACGTCTCTTTCCAGGCATTACTCTTCCTCTACGATTCAGACTAGTCTTACCAAAACCTATAGGAGGGCAAAAACAGAAGAAAATGTCAATTTAACAATTCAATTGGGACGGTCACAGGATATTCTATTTCCCAAGGAAGGGGGAACTTATGAACATTTATTATGTTATTATTTATGTTTTTTAAATTACATAAAATACTTCATTTTAAAAAGGCAATCTGCTGCATTGGGAAGGGTTCTGTGGCTATACTGGACTCTAAATAACTAGAGGATTCTCACATGTTGCCTCTGGCCATACTCTTTTGTCATTAGTTTCTCAACAAACAGGACAGTCTGTCGAGTCTTTACCTGTGCATTATGGTAGATACTAACCATATGTGGCTACTGAGTACTTGAAGTTAAGCACTAGTCTGAATCGAGGTATTTCAAGGTAAAATATTTCACTGATGATTTTATATAAATTATATAGTGAAATATTTTAAAGATATTGGGCTAAGTAAAATATATTCATATGTGCTCAATCTTTATTGAACAGTGCTGATCTAGAGTGGAATCACTATCTCATCTCCAATTTACTTATGACAGCACACTGCAATCTGGCTTCATTTTCAACCCTACTCCATTCAAATTGCTTTTGCTAAAGTTGCCAGTGAGTGCCAATAGACACATTTTAATCTGTGGCATGTGACATTACCAACTTTGGTTTTCCATTACATATCTTACCTATTTAAATACTTTTTTAAGGCTGGGCACAGTGGCTCACGCCTGTAATCCCGGCACTTGGGAGGCCAAGGGAAGAAGATCCCTTGAGCTCAGGAGTTTAAGACCAGCCTGGGCAACATAGTGAGGCCTCGCCTCTAAAAATTAGTTGGGCATAGTAGCACATGCCTGTAGTCCCAGCTACTCAGGAGGCTGGGGTGAGAGGATTGCTTGAGCCCAGGAGTTCTAGGCTGCAACAGAGTGAGACCCTGTCTCCAAAAAATAAATAGATTAAAAAATAAATAAATATATAAATAAATAAGTAAATACTTTTTTCTAGTTAAAAAAAAAAAAATAGCAGCCAGGTGCAGTGGCTCACACCTGTAATCCCAGCACTCTGGAAGGCCGAGGCAGGTGGATCACAAGGTCAGGAGATCGAGACCATCCTGGCAAACACAGTGAAACCCCATCTGTACTAAAAATACAAAAAATTAGCCAGGCGTGGTGGCGGGTGCCTGTAGTCCCAGCTACTCGGGAGGCTGAGGCAGGAGAATGGCGTGAACTGGGAGGCGGAGCTTGCAGTGAGCCGAGATCGTGCCACTGCACTTCAGCCTGGGCGAAGAGCGAGACTCCGTCTCAAAAAAAGTAAATAAATAAAAAATAAATTGGGAGTGTCTCTGAACCTATTCTGGTTCAGGGGCTGCCCGTTAAAAAAAAAAAGGGGGTAAATTAAAAAATAGACATGTTCACTGCAGAATTCCTAGAAACACATAAAGTACAAATAAGAAAATAAACATCACCCATCAGCCTACCACCTAGAGATGACCACTGACATTCTGTCTTTCTAGTCTTTCTTTTACTTGTATACATATATTTTAAAAGTTAACATTTTTGGTTTTAACTATTTTTAAGCAACTCAAGACTATCATCTGTAGTAATTCTCAATTTTATAGTAGTGCCTCAATTTTATAGTAGAAGGTGAACTGAGTCAATCTTTCGGCAACTACACAACTCTACATACTATTTTGTAGCCCTACACTAATCCTGTACTGCAGGCTGGGCATGGTGGCTGATGCCTATAATCCCAGCACTTTGGGAGACTGAGAAGGATGGATTGCTTGAGCCCAGGAGTTCGAGACCAGCCTGGGCAACATGGCGACACCCCATCTCTAGAAAAAATACAAAAATTAGCCAGGTGCAGTGGCGCGTACCTGTAGTCCCAGATAATAGGGAGGCTGAGGCAGGAGGATCATTTGAGCCTGGGAAGCAGAGGTTACAGTGAGCCAAGATCACACTGTACTCCAGGCTGGGGTGACAGAGCAAGACCCTGTCTCAAACACACACACACACACACACACACACACACCAGTCTCAAACACGACACACACCTATATTGCAAAAATATTATCCCATGTTTTTGACATCCTTTTATCGCATTACTTTTTAATATGCCATACTTGATCCAAACCAACTTTATACTAATCATTTCAGTTAGTTCTAATTATAAATAATATCACAATAGAACCACAGATATATTTTTAAACACATCCATGATTATTTTCTGAAGATGTGAGTTTCTAGAAGGTGAAATGCTAGGTTAAACAGTAAAGCAAACTCTTTTTTTTTTTTTTTTTGAGACAGAGTCTCGCTCTGTTGCCCAGGCTGGAGTGCAATGGCATGATCTCAGCTCACTGCAACCTCCACCTCCTGGGTTCAAAGAATTCTCCTGCCTCAGCCTCCCGAGTAGCTGGGATTACAGGTGCCTGCCACCACACCCAGTTATACATATACATATTTTTTTGAGACAGAGTCTTGCTCTGTTGCCCAGGCTGGAGTGCAGTGGTGTGATCTCGGCTCAATGCAACCTCCGCCTCCCAGGTTCATGCCATTCTCCTGCCTCAGTCTCCCAAGTAGCTGGTACTACAGGTGCCCAATACGATGCCCGGCTAATTTTTTATATTTTTAGTAGAGACAGGGTTTCGCTGTGTTAGCCAGGATAGTCTTGATCTCCTGACCTTGTGATCCGCCCGCCTCAGCCTCCGAGAGTGCTTGGATTACAGGTGTGAGCCACTGCGCCCGGACTATTTTTGTATTTTTAGTACAGACAGGGTTTCACCATGTTGGCCAGGCTGGTCTCAAACTCCTGACCTCAGGTGATCTGCCTGCCTCAACTTCCCAAAGTGCTGGGGTTACAGGCGTGAGCCACCACGGCTGGCTTAAAGTCTTTAGTTTTTAAATCAAATTATTGCTGCCCTATGTGTGGTTTCCTTCTAAAATTGCAACTAGATGAAGATTAAACCATATTGGGAAAAACTGTACATTAAAATTAATTCCAATATACAATGACTTGCTATTTGTGTTAAATAATGTAACAGCTACCCTTCACTGTGCTAGGCACTGTGCTGAGTACTATAATTTGTATGATAATCTGATAAGACTGATGCTAACAATCTTCCTTGAGAAAGGAAGAAACTGGAAAATATTCCAAAAGAATAAGTGAGTTTGTAGGGCAAAAAAGAAACGATTAAAAGGAGGACGAACCCATTATTATACCAAAATTTCAGGACTAGATGAGAAAGACTGACAAGAAACTCTCATAAATAGGAATCAAATGGATTAAAACAAGATCTTAAGTATGAAATAAGGTTGGGTACCGTGGCTCACGCCTGTAATTCCAACATTTAGTGAGGCTGAGGCGGGTGGATCATTTGAGGTCAGGAGTTCGAGACCAGCCTGACCAACATGGTGAAACCTCGTCTCTACTAAAAATATAAAAATTAGCCACCAGGCGTGGTGGTGCACACCTGTAATCCCAGCTACTGGGGAGGCTGAGGCATGAGAATCGCTTGACCTGGGAGGCGGAGGTTGCAACGAGCCAAGATCGCACTACCACACTCCAGCCTGGGTGACAGGGCAAGACTCCATCCTCCCCCCCCAAAAAAAAAAAGTATGGAATAGAACTCCATCCCTTGGCGCTTTCTATTTCTATTGATAGTACAGTACATTGGTCCCATACTTATCAATCTTTCTGCTGTTTTTTTTTTCTCTTATCCAAGGTGTTGCCTCCTCTGCTTTTTTTTTTTTTTTTGGGACGGACTCTCGCTCTGTCACCCGGGCTGGAGTGTAGCGGCGCGATCTCGGCTCACTGCAAGCTCCGCCTCCCGGGTTCACACCATTCTCCTGCCTCAGCCTCCTGAGTAGCTGGGACTACAGGCGCCCACCACCATGCCCAGCTAATTTTTTGCATTTTTAGTAGAGATGGGGTTTCACTATGTTGGCCAGGCTGGTCTTGAACTCCTGACCTCGTAATCTGCCCACCTCGGCCTCCCAAAGTGCTGGGATTACTGGCGTGAGCCACTTGGCCCCGCCTCCTCCTCTGCTTTCTAATCAGGCCTATATGATTCGTTCTCCCACCTTTCTACCTTTGAACAAACTTCATTAGCTGTATCTGTTTTAGCAATGATTATATTCTTTACCCTTTCATTGTCACATTACATAAAGTAAGAAAAATGTATACATACTGCCCCAATTATCTCCCCTTCCCTCTTATGCTCTGTAACTGTCTTACATTCTAAAAAGCACTATGAAGGGGTACTAAAGACTTCATCCAATGCAACAGTCTTTTCTTAGTTTTCATTCATTGAGCCTCTCTGCAGAGTTCCAGAGTACCCACATTCTCCATGTACTTCAACTACCACCCTTTATGAAGACCCTTTTACATTTTCAGCTCCACCAGAGCAGTAGTTTAAAACCAGTTAGGTATCAGAATCATCCATGGAGCTTAAAAAAAATCCTCCAAGCCCTACCTCTACAGGTCCTGGTTCAGTAGAAATAAAGTACCGCCAGAGCGTCTAGTTCACAAAGCTCCGCAGGTGCAACTAAGGTTGACAACAGCTGAAACTAGAGAAAGACATTTTCATCTTTCTCTTGAATCCCAAGACTAATCTATTCATGAATTTCTTTCCACATACATCATATGTCCCAATAATTTCAGGAGCCTTATCATCTAAATAAAGATTTGAGGGATTTTCTGGGAAATGTCACATTCTACAGTATATGTAATCATATTATTGGCTCCTTTCCAAAGCAACATACAAATATTCCCAACTCTTCTACCTCTAGTAAGAACAGCATTCTCAAACTTTTTAGTCTCAGTACCTCTTTATACTCTTTCTTTTTTTTTGTAGAGACGGGGTCTCCCTATGTTGCCCACGCTGGTCCTGAAGTCCTTGGCTTAAGCAATCCTCTTGCTCTCACCTCCCAAAGTGCTGGGATTACAAGCACGAACCTCTTCATATGCTTAACAATTGAGGACTCCAAAGTTTTTGTGTCTGTGGGTTATATTTACTGCAATTAAAATAAAAACTTTTTTTTTTTTTTTTGAGACAAGAGTCTCACTCTGTCGCCCAGGCTGGAGTGCAATGGTGCGATCTCGGCTCACCGCAACCTCCGCCTCCCCAGTTCAAGCGATTCTCCTGCCTCAGGCTCCCGAGGAGCTGGGATTACAGCTATGTGCCACCACACCCGGCTAATTGTTGTATTTTTAGTAGAGATAGGGTTTTGCCATGTTGGCCAGGCTGGTCTCAAACTCCTGACCTCAGGTGATCCACCCACCTCGGGCTCCCAAAGTGCTGGGATTACCTGGGTGAGCCACCACGCCCGGCCAAAATAAAAACTATTAGTAAGATAGTTAAAAACCATTTCACTTAAAAAATAATAATAAACTCATTACACATAGGGTAAACATCTCTTTTTAAATGAAAAAGAACAAATTTTAACTTTTATTTTAAGGTTGGGGTACACGTGCAGGATGTGCAGGTTTGTTACACAGGTAAACATGTATCACGGGGGTTTGCTGTACAGATTATTCCATCGCTGAGGTATTAAGCCTAGTATCCACTAGTTTTTTTTTTGGAGACGGAGTCTCACTCTGTCGCCCAGGCTGGAGTGCAGTGGCCGCGATCTCGGCTCACTGCAAGCTCCGCCTGCCAGGTTCACACCTTTCTCCTGCCTCAGCCTCCTGAGCAGCTGGGACTACAGGTGCCCGCTACCACGCCCAGCTAATTTTTTGTATTTTTAGTAGAGACAGGGTTTCACTGTGTTAGCCAGGACGGTCTCGATCTCCCGATCTCATGATCTGCCTGCCTCGGCCTCCCAAAGTGCTGGGATTACAGGCATGAGCCACCGCGCCCGGCCTTTTTTATGTTTGAGACAGAGTCTCGCTCTGTCACCCAGGGTGGAGTGCAGTGACGCGATCTCGGCTCACTACAATCTCCACCTCCCAGGTTCAAGCGATTCTCCTGCCTCAGCCTCCCGAGTAGCTGGGACTACAGGTGCCCGCCACCATGCCCGGCTAATTTTTATATTTTTAGTAGAGACAAGCTTTCACCATATTGGCCAGGCTGCTCTCGAACTCCTGACCTTGTGATCTGCCTGTCTCGGCCTCCCAAAGTGCTGGGATTACAGGCGTGAGCACCGCGCCTGGCCTCATTATTTTTATTTTCCAAAACAAATAAAAATATTTAGTAAGAACAGTGGTATATTGTTTTTGGATCTCTTTGGTGTCTGCCTTAATAGAAGACAACTAGATTCTCACAACTGCTTGTTAAGGACTGAATGTTTGTAACTCTCCAAAATTCACATGTTGAAATACTAACACTTAATGTGATGGTATTAACAGGAGAGGGCTTTGGGAGGTAAAGTCATGAGGATGGAGCCACCATGAATGGGATTAGTGTCCTTACAAAAGTGACCCTGGAGAGCTCTCTAGCCTTCTTTCTGCCACACAAGGACATCAAAAGAAGTCCAAAGTCTGCAACCTGGAAGAGAACTCTCACCAGAACCTGACCTTGCTGACATCCTGACCTTGAACTGCTAATCTCCAAAACTGTGCAAAATAAACTTCTGTTGTTTATAAGCTACCTAGTCTATGGTACTTTGTTACAGCCCACTGAACTAAGATCCTGCTTTTGCATTCAATCTACTTTAATTATCAGACATCATGTAGACTCTGGAAAAGGCTACTGTACATTCCTGAGAGAGTAAGAGTCAAAATACAATTAACGCCTTAGTACTAACATGAAATTAGTTTTGATCTTGTGGATCCCCCATGTCTTAGGGATCCCCAAGGGTACCTGACGACATTTTGAGAACTCTATACCATTCCACCACTGAAGAACAACTCTATACATTCTAACACTGAAGAACAATTCTATACATTCTACCACTGAAGAACACTCTATACATTCTACCACTGAGGAACAACTCTACACATTCTACCACTGAAGAACAATTCTATACATTCTACCACTGAAGAACACTTTATACATTCTACCACTGAAGAACACTCTATACGTTCTACCACTGAGGAACAACTCTATACATTCTACCACTGAAGAACAATTCTATACATTCTACCACTGAAGAACAATTCTATACATTCTACCACTGAAGAACATGCTATACACTCTATCACTGAGGAACAACTCTATACATTCCACCACTGAGGAACAACTCTATACATTCTACTATTGAAGAACAACTCTATACATTCTACCACTGAAGAACAAGTATATACATTCTACCACTGAAGAACACTCTATACATTCTACCACTGAGAAACAACTCTATACATCCTACTATTGAAGAACAACTCTATACATTCTACCACTGAAGAACACTCTATACAGTCTACCACTGAAGAACAACTCTATACATTCTACCACTGAGGAACAACTCTATACATTCTACCACTGAAGAACAAGTCTATACATTCTACCACTGAGGAACAACTCTATACATTCTACCACTGAAGAACAAGTCTATACATTCTACCACTGAAGAACACTCTATACATTCTACCACTGAAGAACACTCCATAAGTTCTACCACTGAGGAACAACTCTATACATTCTACCACTGAAGAACAATTCTATACATTCTACCACTGAAGAACACTCTACACATTCTGCCACTGAGGAACAAATCTATACATTCTACCACTGAGGAACAACTCCATACATTCTACCACTGAGGAACAACTCCACACATTCTACCACTGAAGAACACTCTATACATTCTACCACTGAAGAACAACTCCATACATTATACCACTGAAGAACAACTCTATATGTTCTACCACTGAAGAACAACTGTATACATTCTACCACTGAGGAACAACTCTATACATTCTACCACAGAAGAACAACCCTATATATTCTACCATTGAAAAACACTCTATAAATTCTACCCCTGAAGAACAACTCTATACATTCTACCCCTGAAGAACAACTCTATACATTCTACCCCTGAAGAACTCTATACATTCTACCCGTGAAGACCCCTGAAGAACTCATACATTCTACCCCTGAAGAACAACTCTATACATTCTACCACTGAAGAACAACTCTATACATTCTACCACTGAAGAACACTCTATACATTCTACCACTGAAAAACAACTCTATACATTCTACCACTGAAGAACACTCCATACATTCTACCGCTAAAGAACAACTCTGTACCTTCTACCACTGAAGAACACTCTATACGTTCTACCACTGAAGAACAATTCTATACGTTCTACCACTGAGGAACAACTCGATATGTTCTACCACTGAGGAACAACTCAATACGTTCTACCACAGAGGAACACTCTATAAGTTCTACCACTGAGGAACATTCTATACGTTCTACCACTGAGGAACATTCTATACGTTCTACCACTGAAGAACAACTCTATACGTTCTACCACGGAAGAACAACTCCATACATTCTACCACTGAAGAACAACTCCGTATGTTCTACCACTGAAGAACTCCATACATTCGACCACTGAGGAACAACTCTATACATTCTACCACTGAAGAACACTCTATACATTCTACCACTGAGGAACACCCTATACATTCTACCACTGAAGAACACCCTATTCGTTCTACCACTGAAGAACACTCTATACGTTCTACCACTGAAGAACAACTCTATACGTTCTACCACTGAAGAACACTCTATACATTCTACCACTGAAGAACAACTCTATATGTTCTACCACTGAAGAACACGCTATACGTTCTACCACTGAGGAACAACTCTATACGTTCTACCACTGAGGAACAACTCTATACGTTCTACCACTGAAGAACAACTCTATACGTTCTACCACTGAAGAACAACTCTATACGTTCTACCACTGAAGAACAACTCTATACGCTCTACCACTGAAGAACACTCTATACGTTCTACCACTGAGGAACAACTCCATACGTTCTACCACTGAGGAACAACTCCATACATTCTACCACTGAGGAACAACTCCACACATTCTACCACTGAAGAACACTCTATACATTCTACCACTGAAGAACAACTCCATACATTCTACCACTGAAGAACAACTCTATACGTTCTACCACTGAAGAACACTCTATACATTCTACCACTGAGGAACAACTGTATACATTCTACCACTGAAGAACAATTCTATACATTCTACCACTGAAGAACACTCTATATGTTCTACCACTGAAGAACAACTCTATACTTTCTACCACTGAAGAACAATTCTATACATTCTACCACTGAAGAACACTCTATACATTCTACCACTGAGGAACAACTCTATACATTCTACCACTGAGGAACAACTCTATACATTCTACCACTGAAGAACACTCTATACATTCTACCACTGAAGAACAACTCTATACTTTCTACCACTGAAGAACAACTCTATACTTTCTACCACTGAAGAACAACTCTATACATTCTACCACTGAAGAACAACTCTATACGCTCTACCACTGAAGAACATTTGGGTTGTTTCTCCAAGTATTTACTGAGTGCCTAAATTATTTTTCACACACGAAGTTAAAGATTTCATTCATTGACTTGTTCAGCCATCAGAAATCATACCGCGGATCTGCAAAGAGCTCCTCTGTCCTACTTATTTCTCTTACCTCAAGCTAACATCCTCATTGACATTACAACGTGGAAATCTGAACTTTTTCCTAGCCAATCAGAGTTTAAGACAATCCTCTATCTCTGTACATTCAGTAACAGTGGCAGCTGTTCTATTTTAGCCCGTGTCACATGTAAGCAATAAACATACAAGGGCAAGCTCAATCTTAGGAGATCCTAAGCTGCCCCTAGATATCATTTATTTCAAGGCTCAGATCATAACATCCATAAAAGGAAAGCTTTTCTGACACTTCATGGACCAGATCATATTTCACCTTATCCATTAAATCACTCCTGATCTTCTTAGTACAAAATCTCTAAAGTCCTATAATACTATTTGAATTTCTCTTACAACATTTCTCCCACACTACCTTTTCCATCTTATCTCTAACACCGGAAATTAATTCCTTGAAGTAGAAGACCACATCTTTATGTACCCCCTAGGACCCAATCAGTTTAGGGTATCTATCAAGTATTTAACACTGAAATATATTCATGTTAAATATTTGATAAACATTAATTAATAAATATATTTCTGGTTCTATGAACTCTCAACAGTTATTTTAAAAACAAATAATACAAAAATATATAGTATGTTCAATAACATTTATAAGAAATATTTAGGCCAGGCGCAGTGGCTCACGCCTGTAATCCCAGCACTTTGTGGGGCTGAGGCAGGAGGCCGAGGCAGGTGGATCACCTGAGGCTGGGAGTTCGAGACCAGCCTGACCAACGTGGAGAAACCCTGTCTCTCCTAAAAATACAAAATTAGCTGGGCATGGTGGCGCATGCCTGTAATCCCAGCTACTTGGGAGGCTGAGGCAGGAGAATCGCTTGAACCCGGGAGGCAGAGGCTGCAGTGAGCCAAGATCGTGCCTTTGCACTCCAGCCTGGGCAACAAGAGCAAAACTCCGTCTCAAAAAAAAATTTAAATATAAATCACTGGAACTAAACTTCATTTGCTACAGTTAAATACCTGTCATGAAATTTACTCCCTTAGGTTCAACTATTCAAAAAATTATTAGAGATGAATAATTTTTTTTAAGGGCCCAATCTCAGTTATATGTACTTTTCTTGAGACAGAGTCTCATGCTGGAGTGCTGTGGTGCCATCATGGCTCACTGTGGTCTTGATCTCCCAGGCTCAAGCCATCTTCCCACCTCAAACTCCTGAGTGGCTGGGACCAGAAAGAGGTACCACCACGCCTGGCTAATTTTTAAATTTTTTGTGGAGACAGGGTCTCCCTGTGTTGCCCAAGCTGGTCTCAGATTCCTGGATTCAACTGATCCTCCCAAAGTTCTGGGATTACAGGCATAAGCCACTGTGCTCAGCTTCAGTTATACATATTTTGAGGATATAATGGGATATTAGCTGTAAACACAGAACTAATTATGTTCAACCTACTGGAGATTATTTTTATGTTTTTCAACATATAGAATAAAAATCAATTTGGAAGTTAGTTTGTCAAACATATTTTTACATATCTGAAAAAGATTTAGTTCTTTTATTTCAACAAATATTTATTCTAAAATTCTGATATTGCTGATAAAGAAGTTAACAAGCCATATATATTAGTGTTCAATTACTGCCTTCAATCAAGATGGTTATAAATAAGCTTCCAGATTATCAAAAATAACTAAATGTGTAGAGTTCCACATTATATCTAAAGCATTCATTTCTGAGTGTCAACTTTGGAAGATTTAACAAATCCTAAAGTTCTTGGATGATAAGATAAGGAGTCTGGAGGTCATTTTCTATGCAGAATGTAACAGTAGTCTCCACATACTTAAAGAGTTCTCATATACAAAAGAGAATTTGCTTTCTATAACTTTACCGAAGTGATAGGCATGCTTTAATCCAAATTAAGAGGCCAGGCACAGTGGCTCATGCTTGTGAGGTAGTATGCTCTTTCACTGAATATATTTAAGCTGGAGTTAGTCATCCATTAGACAGACTGTTAAAGGAACATCTCACTTGGATGAAGATAGGAGCTCATGATATATAAGATCCTTTGCAATTCTAAACTCTGAATATAATTTAGACTGTGTATAAACTGAAGTTACTTTTAAATGACTTACAACGTTTAAGAGACAGTGTTACGTCTATTGAAGGCTACTGAAATTTTTACCAGGTTTTAGATCTAAACAAAAACCTAGGCATAGAGGAAACACAAAACACAAAGAGTACTGACGCATTCCTCCACGTTAAGCATATGCTAAAGACAGTACACTATGAACACACAAATAACAGCTTTCCATTAAAGCTTACTTTCAAAACTTACCAGAATTCTGTTGGATTCCCCATCGCACTCTCATCCTGAATTGCTGGGCACCACTTTGCTGGAGGAGTCTTCTATTTAGTCTTGGAAAATTCTGCTTCTTCCCTTCCTTTCGATTCAACTTGATGATATCATCTATGATAGAGGAAATGTCAATTATTTTCATTTTAACTTAACTCAATTACTCAGTTTCGTTTTCTAGCTGATAGATGTCCTACGTTCCTAACTTCTTTTCTACTTTGAAAGCACTTCCATAAGAGGATAATAACAAGAATCAGCCATTTTACAATAGCCCAAAGCAGATCTACCAATTAATGAAGAGTGCTATTGGCCATAGTATTTCTTTACCTGATGAATCAAGCAGAAGCCTGTTTACAAGTTATTCCTACTTACTTCCCATAATCACAGAAGCCTCCAATTTCCTACTTACTTCCCATAATCACAGAAGCCTCTAATTTCCTACCTACTTCCCGTAATCACAGAAGCCTCCAATTTCCTACCTACTTCCCATAATCACAGAAGCCTCCATTTTCCTACCTACTTCCCATAATCACAGAAGCCTCCATTTTCCTACCTACTTCCCATAATCACAGAAGCCTCCATTTTCCTACCTACTTCCCATAATCACAGAAGCCTCCATTTTCCTACCTACTTCCCATAATCGCAGAAGCGTCCATTTTCCTACTTACTTCCCAAAAACACAGAAGCCTCCATTTTCCTACTTACTTCCCATAATCACAGAAGGCTCCATTTTTTAAAGATGACCCCCTTCCGGCCAGGCATGGTGACTCACACCTATAATCCCAGCACTTTGGGAGGCTGAGGTGGGCGGATCATTTGAGGTCAGGAGTTCGGGACTGGCCTGACCAACATGGTGAAATCCCGTCTCTACTAAAAATACAAATAAATAAATAAATAAATAAATAAATAAATAAATAAATAAATAAATTAGCCGGGTATGGCGGTGCATGCCTGTAATCCCAGCTACTCGGGAGGCTGAGGCAGAAGAATTGGTTGAACTCGGGAGGCAGAGGTTGCAGTGAGCCAAGATCGCACCACTGCACTCCAGCCTGGGTGACAGAGCGAGACTCCATAAAAAAAAAGAAAAAGTAAAAAAAGATGACCACCTTCCAATATATAGGTAATCAAAAATTAAACCATTCAACTAAAATACTAAATGTTGAAATTCAGCAAATATTTACTGAGCATATACTACATGCAACAAATATATGTGTCAGGTTGTGCTGTAACTGAAACAAAAGTAAAATACGGTCCCTTTTCTAAATAAGTTTAAAAGTACTGATGGAAACAGACATGCAAATAGCAAATACAAAATTAAACAAGTGCCATAATAAAGGTATAGTACAAAAAATACTAATGACTCACCTCTAGCAAAGTACTTCAAGTTACCTTATTTTTCTTTCTACACTGATCTAAGCCTCATTACTTCCAAACATACTTCCAAACTGCCCCAAGGTAATTCACAAACAAAAATACACAACAGAACAAGGTGAAGACCAGAAAACTAAATGTACTCCAGATTCCCATTTATATCTGTTAAAAGAGGTTACTAGAAGCCAAAAATACTCATTTAAGAAATATCCAGCTGGGCACATGCCTGTAACCTCAGCACTTTTAGAGGTGAGATGGGAGAATGCTTCAGCCCAAGAGTTCGAGACCAACCTGGGCAACACAGCAAAACCTCATCTCCACAAATAATTTTTAAAAATTAGCCAGGCATGGTGGTGCGTGCCCGTGGTCCCAGCTACCCAGGAGGCTGAGGTGGGAGAATTCCTTGAGCTCAAGTGGTCAAGGCTGCAGTGAGCCACAATCACGCCACTGCACTCCAGCCTAGGCAACAGAGCAAGACTGTCTTTCAAAAAAAAAAAAAAAGAAAGAAAAAAAAAAACCCACAAACATTTCCTCCATAGTCCTAATTCCAGTATTATTTCATAATTGAGAAAGCAAATAAAACAAAGAAATTGCATACAGTCAACAAATTCTTAATAAAACTCTATGAAACTAATTAAACTCAATTTTTTTGTCACTATAATTAGTCTTTCCAGAAGTCAGAGAAGGAAATATAACTTGAAGGTCCTTTGTAATATATTACTGTTCTACCTAACCAATCTCTAATCTTTAAGACTCTTAATTACACTCAAATATTCACACAAAATATCTCAAATCTCCCCAAAATATTTAGTTGTCTTCTTGAAATTAATGTCCAACTACGAAAAAGTTCATCAAAGTTAAGGGCACTCAAAAACTTTTGTAAAAAATTAAAAGGTCAACATCAGATATATAAACATGTATCTCAATAAGCATAAAGGGAATACCAAGGAAGACACTATTTATGAGACACCACTTTCCTTTCACAAAGTGCTACTTACTCTTCATCAAAAGTCTAAAATCTCAAGCCTTGAGAGTAAACCAAAAAAATGAATTTTGTCTGGGGAGCATTAAAAAAAAGAGGCAAAGTACAATTCTGACTAACAAAGTTCATCTTAAAATATAGCATATAGGCCGGGTGCGGTAGCTCACGCCTGTAATCCCAGCACTTTGGGAGGCCGAAGTGGGCGGATCATGAGGTCAGGAGATCGAGACCATCCTGGCTAATATGGTGAAACCCTGTGTCTACTAAAAAATACAAAAAATTAGCCGGGTGTGGCGGTGGGCGCCTGTAGTCCCAGCTACTTGGGAGGCTGAGGCAGGAGAATGTTGTGAACCTGGGAAGCCGAGATCGTGCCACTGCACTCCAGCCTGGGCGACAGAGCAAGACTCCGTCTCAAAATAAATAAATAAATAAAATAAAATACAGCATATAAAGTCTAAATATAACTAAAAATCAGAAGTAGCAGAGCATATTAAATATAAAATTACATTTCACATTTCAACATTTTACTACCTATATCTTCAAATAAGTCAAATGAGCTACCATGGCCGAGAGGATTCTTTCAATCTAAAAAAAGAAAACGGCTTTCTCCTGCCCAATGAATAGATACACAGGTATCAGAATTAAAAAAAAAAAAAAATTCCTTACAATGAGCTATTTTAAGTTTCTTCCATAGCACTAGAGGAATATACATGGTAATAGTAATAGCAGCAGTAGCAGCAGTGGTGGTGGTAAGTACTACAGCACAGGCACCAGCAATGTTAGTACCAACAGTTCTGACATGTATTCACTTAATTCACAACAATCCTATGAAATAAGTATCACCATAACACCGATTTTCAAATTAAGGAATTGAACCATGAGGCCAGCTATTGGTAAACTTGGTACTCTATGTGAAATTCATATACACCTGGCAAAGCCATGATTTAAAACAAAAAAACCTCTGCAAACCTGGTAAGATTAAACATTCACAAAGCATAGTAACTGCCTAGGATAGATGATGTCTAGGATAGAAATGGGATGATCTCTTCATCCCATTTCTGTAAAATTCTCACCAAAAGAAAGGCAATAGAGGGACTGCTGTATGTTCCTGGGGGAAAGAAAGATATCAAGCTGTTTCAGCTCTCCACAGCACTTCATTGCTACCTCCAAGAGAACTACCCCTCAGTTTTCTTCACTTGAACGTACTAATCATCAAACAAAACACATACAAAAAAGAAAACAGAAAACCTAGAAACGTAAGAAATCTAGGTGTAAAACAACTTGAGGCTCTAGAATCAGACTGAAATCCTGGCACCACCACTTAACTACCTTGTATGACTTCGAGCAAGTTACTTAATTTCTCTATGCCTCTGATTTCTGTAAAATGGAAATAACAACAAATAACAAAAGCATATATACAGACATACACACATATATATAGTGTATGTATAAAAACAACCAAGCCATATATAGACATACACACATATATGTAGTGTATGTATAAAAATAACAAAGCCATATATACATACACATATATATAGTGTATGTATAAAAATAACCAAGCCATAGACATACATACACATATATGTAGTGTATGTAGAAAAATAAAGCCATATATACATACACACATACAGTGTATGTATAAAAATAAAGGCATATATACAGACATACTACATATAGTGTATGTATAAAAATAAAAGCATACATACAGACATACACACATATATATAGTGTATGTGGAAAAATACAGTGCTGTGTACCAGGTCCTGTTCTAAGCAGTTCACATATGCCTTCTGACTCATTTAATGTTTTCAGCAACCCTATGTGGTAAACACTACTTACTGTCACCTTTCTACAGATGAGGCACTGGGAAATCATCTGCCCACGGTTACATGGTTACAAAGTGGCAGAGGCAGGACCTGAAAGGAGACAGTGTGGATCTGGATTCCATGCTGTCAATCACTAGGAGTACAACCCTCACAGACTTATCATGAGGATAAACTGAGTTAATATATAAAATGCTGGCCGGGTGCGGCGGCTCACGCCTGTAGGGGAGGCCAAGGCAGACAGATCACCTGAGGTCAGGAGTTCGAGACCAGCCTGGCCAACATGGTGAAACCCTGTCTCTACTAAAAATATGAAAATTAGCCGGCCACCAGCGCTGGCGTGTGCCTGTAATCACAGCTACTCGGGAGGCTGAGGCAGGAGAACTGCTGGAACCCGGGAGGCGGAGGTTGCAGCGACCCGAGATCACACCACTGCACTCCAACCTGGGCGACAGAGCCAGACTCCGTCTCAAATAATTAATTAATTAATTAATTTAATTTAATGCTTAGTCCAGGACCTGAACTGAGACAATGTGGTTCTGGGTTCCGTGCTCTCCATCGCTAGAATCCTCACAGAGTTATGACGAGGATAAACTGAGTTAACATATAAAATGCTTAGTACAGGACCTGGTAGGTAGTAAGCACTCAATAAATATTCATTATTACATTATTTGTTGGCCTTACCTCAAAAGGTTTCTCTCTCTTTTTTGCGGGGGGGGAGAGCGGGGGGAGACAGGGTCTCGCTCTGCCGCCCAGGCTGGAGTGCAGTGGCGCAATCGGCTCACTGCAACATCCGCCCGCGGGTTCCAGCTATTCTCATGTCTTAGCTGGGATTACAGGCGCGCGGCCACCACGCCCGGCTAATTTTAGTATTTTTAGTAGACATGGGATTTCACCTTGCTGCCCGGGCTGGTCTCGAACTCCTGGGCTCAAGCCATCTGCCTGCCTCCGCCTCCGCCTTCAAAGGGCTGGGATTGCAGGCGTGAGCCACCGCGCCCAGCCCCAGCTTTCTCATTTCTTACAAGCTCACTACTAACCAGCAGCAAGGCAAGACTTGAGGCCAAACCTATTATTTCTGATCATTTGCTTAGTTCACATACTGGATTCTGACTGTGGCAATCGTAGAAATCAATAGTTCCCATCTCACCTGGAACCAAAAACGTTCCAGATAAACCACAACAAAAGACACACAAGACAAATGGGAAGAAATGAAAACCGAAAGAAGGTTTCCAAGACAGTTATCACTCTAAAGACCGTCCTGGGAAAGGGTACGCCTCGGAATCCACTAGTCAGGTACTTTTCAAATATCCGAAAAACTGCCAGCCAAACACCTGGCAGAGCTGACTTACACCCAACGCCATCACTTGAATCCCGACAAAAATATTCGTACTTTTAGCCCACCTAAGCTAACCACAGCGGCTGGTGCCTCGGTAGTGTCAGGGCTGGATTTTAATGGAATCACCAACCTCCCGGTTTTTATATAATCGGCAAGAAACCACGCCACCCTCTCAGATGCGCTCAAGAACCCCACGCTTTACCTGGCTTCTCAGCGAGCCACAGCAATCATCTCTCCTTCAAAGATGTTTGCTTTCTCCCCCATTAGCTAGCTCTGAGGCCTGGAGAGGGAGACTGTGCTTTTCTAGGCAGCGCTCAATACACAACCACATCCCACAGGCGGCCGAGCGCTGCTTCCTTTCTGACAGACGCTCCGGGGCCGCGGCCGGAGGTGGCCCCGAGAGTCGCGCCCGGCAGCCATGGCCGGCGCCGGCCTGGAACGCCCGGCGACCAGGGAAAGCTCCGGAAGCGCTGGTTTAACCGACCGCAGCCCCGGCCGGGCTCTCCAAGACCTTTCTTCAGAGAGAACGGCTCGGTCGGACCATTCCCCTCGCTCCCCGATAACGCCCACCGCGAACGCGCTCCGGGGAAACCGGCAGATCTTTCCTCACAAAGAGCCGGCGAGCGGCGAGCCGTAGCCCCTCCGGGGAGAAGAGACGCCCCCCGCGACCCTGCGAACCTTCGGGCCCGCAGCGCCCCTGCCCCCGCCTCCACAGCCCCTCCTCCGACTGCCGCGGCCGAGGGGACGCCCGGGTCCCTCGCGGTCCAGCCGGGCACCTGGCGTCGAGCCTGCGCTCCCGGCTGTCCTCCGGGCCTCCGCTCGGGTCCGCCCACCAGCGAGAAAACTCCGCCGGCAACTGCTGCCGACCGCCCCTGCCCCCACAAACCGCGCCGCCGGCTTCCACCCGCGCCCTCCCCCGCACTCCAACTCGGTCCAACTCGGCCCCTCACCCAAAGACATATCTATTTTGTCGAGGTTTTCATTGCTGCGGGCCTTCGGCGGCGGCGAAGAAGTCGCCGTGGCTCCCACCAACCGGGTACCAAACCGGTTCATGGCTGGAGACGTCGCGCCGAGAGCGGGCGCGGACAAGGCCGGAGTCGCAGGCCTGCCACCTCCCACTCGCGCACGCAGCCCGCCGCACCGAGGGAGCGCGCACGCGCCGGCGCCGTCCTCGGTCTCCACCCGCGGCTGCGGGCGGGGCGGGGCCACCGACACTCGCGGGCGACCAGAGCGGCCCCGCGCCGTGACTCGCTCCTAGCGGCCCTCGCAGGATCGGACGAGGCATTGCAGCCGCTGTGCTAGGCGCTCGCGAGGACCGCCGTTGTGAGCAGTTCGACTTTCCGCCCAAACTGGGGGATGCTAGACCGCGGGCACCTCTGAATCTTATGCCTTCAGTGATATAATCCTCCGTGTCCTTCGAGTCCCTCCTGCTGCAGACAGGTCCCCTATACTTCGGTACACACGAGCCTTTCGCGCCCACCGCAACGCAGCCTCGGGAGGCAGGACAGACCCCTGCGAGTGTAGATTGCAGCTGCATCCCAGCTCCCCCCTCCCTGGCACGCTCCTCCACCTACAGCTGCGCTGAGCTGCCGCATCTGAACGCAAAGCAAACGCTGCAGTGACGGTTCCTGCGTCACCTTAACTCCAAAGTAAATGCTAACGTTTCCCGTGTCTGTACCTTCTCTCAATCGGCACTCTCAAAACATCTGGCACGGTGTTCACTACCCTAATAAGACCTCAGCTTCCCTCGGGAGGGGTAAGTACCTCTGTTGATGTAGCTGCATTTTCTTCTAATTCATTTGCATTGGGAATGGATAGAAGGGTTCGTTTACTTTTTAATCATCCCTACGGGAAAACAGTTTAATATTTGATGAATTCCTGCATGATAACTTTTTTCCGTTTACAACATACGGTATTTACCTCTCTTCTTACCTCATTCTCCTTCCCTGAAGTAACTGCGTTTATGTGGAAGCGTTTAGGTTATATCACCCTCATACAGCTTAAAACTATCTCGGATATTTACATCTAAGGACAATACCAGATGCATTCTGTCCACCTAGAAATCTCTGTCGCCTTTCTCCTCTCCAATTCATAAAATGCAAAAATTCCTTTAGCATGGAAACCAGCCATCTCAAAACCACAGTAGCCTTTGCTTAATTTAGTCATGTCACAATGTCATGTGGCTTCCAACTTCAACACCAATGACACATTTACTATTTTTTGCTTGGGGATCCCATGTTTTAAAATATTTCTTATGCATGTCACACTTAAAAATTAAAGCCAGCTGTTCCAGCTCCCCTTTCCAGGCCTGAATTTAAAGCAAAGCTTGCAGTGACAATTTTGCGGTCACCTTAACAATAAAAGTAAATGTGAACGTTTCCTGTATATGTAGCATGGATAAAACCAGGAGTCTTCACACAGATTATGTTTCCAGCTGAACTCAAAGAACCATGACTTTTTTGTAAGCCTAGTAGTCTTATCTTGGGGAAATGTATGATTTTTGTTAGGCTTTTGGGAATATTCTAAATAACTTCTTATTCTCAAAGGTTAAGATGTCTCTTTTTTTTTATCATGACAAGGACATAACAATATAGGAAGAGTGAACCACACACCTATCAAGGGGCACAAGAAACTTTAATAGTGGAGGAAAGTTTGGACTCGGAAACTCAAGAACAATATTTGGCATGTCAAGGAGAATATCATGTATGTCCTTAGCATAATGTGCTTGATTTTACTACTCTCTCACCCTGAAGCCCCTTCATTTGTCTGGACTGCTAAAAACTAGAGAAACTGGCTCACGCCTGTCATCCCAGCACTTTGGGAGGCCGAGGCAGGCGGATCACCTGAGGTCAGGAGTTTGAGACCAGCCTGACCAACATGGTGAAACCCCTACTAAAAAATAAAAATAAATAAAAAAATAAAAAAATTAGCCGGGCATGATGGTGGGCACCTGTAATCTCAGCTACTTGGGAGGCTGAGGCAGGAGAATCGCTTGAACCCGGGAGGCGGAGGTTGCAGTGAGCTGAGATCGTGCCATTGCACTCCAGCCTGGGTGACACAGCAAGACTCCATCTCAAATAAAAAAAAAAAAAAAACTACAGAAACTGGGTTGTGGGCCCAGACCTGAGTTTTATTGAGTGATAACTTTTTCACTGACTTTAGTTATTCACTGTATGATTTTGGGAGAGTCTCTGGACCTCATACCCATCTTCAAAACCAGAAAAAGGAGTAAGAATAGTGAGTATGAAAAGTATATTTAAAATCCTCTAAGCACAAGTCATTTTTCTCCACATTCACCTTCTGTCACTAGAAATAACTTCTACCATCTCTGCTCATTTGTGAGAGTAAACTACAGAGAGGATCCTTAGGTTAAGTTCTTAATTTTATGGAAGAAAATTAATGCAATTAGAGTTTGGAGGCATTTTGTACTTCAGGTATTTATAGGACAGATAAAAATCCCAAATGTATAAAATCCTCCCTACCACTAATATAATAAAGATTCTCGACCTGGTGCAGTGGCTCACGCTTGTAATCCCAGCACTTTGGGAGGCCGAGGCAGGTGGATCACTTGAGCCCAGGAGTACGAGACCAGCCTGGGCGACATCGTGAGACCCTGTCTTAAAAAAAAAAAAAAGATTCTCTTTTATCCTGATCTTCTCCCCCAAACCAAAGCCTTATCCCCAGTCTCTATAGTGCAAAAGGCCATGCTGCAGTATTTGATTAAACAGTCCTAGCTGTTGTGTTTCAGACTTTCAGGTTTCCCCAAGGGCTGAGAGTCTTGGGGCCTAGGAGCCATCCCCAGATTCCAGAGGGAAAGGCAAGAAAGCAAGAGTGAAGCATTGTGGGTAATGGCAGGTCTTTTCATACACAAAACAGAAAATAGCAACCCGAGACACACACAGTAAAAATAAAGAGGAAGACAAGCCAAGAAATCGGAACTGGGTCCTGTCCAAGAAGTCCATCAGCCAACCACAAGGGCCAGGGTTAAAAGGTCAACCCTGCAATTTTCTGGGGCAGGAGAGGTAGCTATTCATTTAATCATATATTCATTGAGCATCAGGCACTGTAATAGGCCCTGGGGATTAAAAAAAAAAAAAGTGAGCAAGACGGATGCACACCCTATCTTCACACAGCTTGAAGAGCAAAGAATATCTCAGCACCTGCTGTGAACAAGGCCCTGGACTGGACGTGGGCATTCAGCCTTTGTTGGTGTACAGCAGTTCCACAGCTTCGCCTAAGTCAAAATAAACATGGGATCCAAGCAGTTGCCCTTTTAAAAGACTTCGTTTCACACAATGTAGATAAAACAACCTCCAGGATTGCCAGATAAAATGCAGGGCCAGCTAAATTTGAATTTCAGATAAACAACGGACAATTGTTTAGTACAAATATGTCCCACGTTTCAGATAAACAGTGATTTTTTTTTAACTACAGTAAGTTTCATGTAATATTTAGGATATATTTACAACAGAGAATCATTTCATTGTGTGAAATAAAATAATTCAAACTTAAAGCTGTTGAAACTTTAAATTATTCTGAGCTTTGAGAGGGACATGGCTATATGGCATGAGTCAAGCAGCATGTAGTTGTAACTTCTGCTTTTTCCTGTAAGTGATCTGGAATGATTGAGGCGTGCCAGAGATAAGACCCCTGAGAACATTACACCTCCTCACAGAATATTAAAGGAATCTTCCTTGGAATGTAGCAAGTTAAACTAATCAAATTGTTACAACTGTTTCTGCCTATATAAGTGAAATCTTGGCCTCCTCACTTTGGAGCACTGACCCCATTCCTTTGGAATCATGTTTCGCGATGGCTATCCTCAAGCTTTGTGCTGCAGTAAACTTTATACTTAGTCATATTTTCTGAATCTCATTATTGAAGGTTGACATTTGTTTAACTGAAATTCAGGTTTAACTGGGAGTCTTTTATTTTATTTGCTAAATCTGGCAACCTTCTCAACCTCATACTTTTCTTTCTTTCTTTCCTTTTTTGAGACAGAGTCTCACTCTGTTGCCCAGGCTGGAGTGCAGTGGCATGATCTCACTGCAACCTCCGCCTCCCGGGTTTAAGCTATTCTTTTCCTCAACCTCCCCTATAGCTGAGATTACAGGTGCATGGCACCACGCCCAGCTAATTTTTGTATTTTTAGTGGAGACAGCATTTCACTATGTTGGCCAGGCTGGTCTCGAACTCCTGACCTCAGGTGATCCACCCGACTCAGACTCCCAAAGTGCTGGCATTACAGGTGTGAGCCACCGCGCCCAGCTCAACCTCATAGTTTTCTGTTAACACTTTCTGGCTCCTTTTTCATAATGTGCACAGAAATCTATGTTTCTTCAAAGGTAGTAAACTCTTACACACTTCACCCCTTAACTTTTTATCAGTTTGATTTGCCTTTTTTTTTTTGAGATGGATTTTCACTCTTTTTGCCCAGGCTGGAGTGCAGTGGCATGATCTCACCTCACCACAACCTCTGCCTCCCGGATTCAAGAAATTCTCCTGCCTTAGCCTCCCAAGTAGCTGGGATTTCAGGCATGCGCCACCATGCTGAGCTAATTTTGTATTTTTAGTAGAGACAGTGTTTCACCATGTTGGTCAGGCTGGTCTCGAACTCCCGACCTCAGGTAATCCGCCCGCCTCAGCCTCCCAAAGTGCTGGGATTACAGGTGTGAGCCACTGCACCTGGCTTGATTTGCCTTTTAAATCCCCCTTTTCTTTTCTTTCTTTTTTTTTTTTTGAGACAGCATCTCTCTCTGTTGCCCAGGCTGGAGTGCAATGGCGTGATCTCGGCTCACTGCAACCTCCGCCTCCCGGGTTCAAGCAATTCTCCTGCCTCAGCCTCCTGAGTAGCTGGGACTACAGGTGCGTGCCACCACGCCTGGCTAAATTTTATATTTTTAATAGAGATGGGGTTTCACCATGTTGGCCAGGATGGTCTCGATCTCTTGACTTTGTGATCTGCCCACCTCGGCCTCCCAAAGTGCTGGGATTACAGGTGTGAAGCCACCGTGCCCAGCCTAAATCCCCCTTTTCTTAGTTTTGAGATATATTTGATAATAAAAGACACATACTGAAAGTATGCAGTTTATACAGGTGTACAGGATATATACCTGTGAAAACACTACGATAATCTGAATAAATATTATTATATATTCATTATTTTCTAAAGTTTTCTTGCTCACCTTTGTAATCCTTACCCCCCACCTACTATCTAGGCAACTACTGATCTGTTTTCTGTTGCTGTAGATTAATTTGCATTTTCTAGTATTTTTAATAAATGGAATCATACAGTATATACTTTTTAACTGGATTATTTCACATAGCATAACTGTTTTTTATTTGTATGCCTTTTCTTTTTCTTGCCTTATTGCACTGACTAGGGACTCTAGTATCATGTTTAATTGGAGTAGTGAAAGTGAACATCTTTGCCTTGTTCCCAACCCCAGAGGGAAAGCGTTCAGTCTTTCAACATTAAGTATGATGCTAATTTTTAAAAATGCCTTTTTTTAGGTTGAGGAAGTTCCCTTCTACTCCTGATTTGCTGAGAGTTAATCATGAATAAATGCTGAGTTTTATCTGATGCTTTTTCTGTATCTAGAGATTATCAAAAGGTTTTTCTTGCAAAATGTATTAATATGGCGAATTACATTGGCTATCAAATTTTGAATGTTGATTTTGTTTTTGAATGTTGATGTTCCAAATATTGCATTTTTGGGATAAACCTACTTGGTCATGGTATATTATCCTTTTTACATGTTGTTGGATTTGACTTGCTAATATTTTGCCAAGAATTTTGTCTTTTCATGAGTGACACTGGTATGTAATTTCCTTTTCTTGTAATTCATTTGTCTGTTTCTTATGTTAACTCTTTTGCTTTTCAAAAGAGGATATCTAGAAATCATATTGATGTAATATGTATTATACTGGTATATTAAAGAAGTATGGTATAATTTATATTATATGATATATAGATAATATGTATTAGGTATAATAACTAATTATTAGCTAATATTAGTTATTTTTTATTTATTTATTTTTTAGACAGAGTCTCACTCTGTCACCCAGGCTGGAGTCCAGTGGCGCAATCTTGACTCACTGCAACCTCCGCCTCCCGGGTTCAAGCAATTCTCCTGCCTCAGCCTCCCAAGTAGCTGGGATTACAGGCGCTCGCCACCACGCCCGGCTAATTTTTGTATTTTTAGTAGAGACGGGGTTTCACCATGTTGGTCAGGCTGGTCTTGAACTCCTGACCTCGTGATCCACCCACCTCGGCCTCCCAAAGTTTTGGGATTACAGGCGTGAGCCACCGCGCCTGGCCAATATTAGTTATTAATAAACAATAGCTAATTCGTAGCACCCTTAAACTACTTATATATACACTACAGGTTTTCTTCTCTTTTCTGTTCAATTTTTTCCATTCTACCTGTCTGCTGCTGTCTTCTGCTGCAGTAGCTTTTCTTTGCCACTTTGCTGTAGCTTTCTGTCCCTCTTCTGTGTTGCCCTTTTCCTTTGTTGTAAACTTTTCCTGTTCTAGTCTTCTGCCTTTTAATCTCAAAATTTGTTTGTTCATTTATTCGTTCATTCAACAGAGTTCGAGGTCCTCCTATGTGCAAGACACTGTGCTAGAGGCTGGGGATACCGCAGAGAACATGACAGACGGGGTTGCAGGCATAGCTGCTGCCCTTAAGAAACTCAAGACACTGTGCTAGAGGCTGGGGATACCGCAGAGAACATGACAGACGGGGTGGCAGGCATAGCTGCTGCCCTTAAGAAACTCAAGACACTGTGCTAGAGGCTGGGGATACTGCAGAGAACATGACAGACGGGGTTGCAGGCATAGCTGCTGCCCTTAAGAAACTCAAGAGCTCCGGAGGAGCCTGCCCGCCTCAGCTAGCAAGTTTAAAGGAGCACTACTGGCCACTAAGTCCCTGAGCATCAGTTCTGTGTGACTAGGGAATCTGCTCTGGGTGGACAAGGGAACTTGAAGGGGAATTCTTCCTGGACTCAGGGGTGGGACCTCTCAGCTTATTAGGCCTTGCCCTCCCTAGGGAAGGCAGGAGTCTTGACCACCAGGGGTTCTAGATTGACTCACTGAATGACCAACTGTGGCATTTTCCAAAGCTAAACAAATTTACATAAAGTGCAAAATTCCACCCATTTACATAAAACTGTTTGTTTTTCGAAGATATCCTCAATTTGTACTGGATGGATTTGTAGTCCAGGAAGGCTCAGGGAGCCAGGATTCTTGGGTCGCGGGTCTTCAGGCATTCCTCCTTCTCCCAGGCTTCTTCTCTCTGTGCCCCGCAGGTTCCCTGCTCTGGGATGAGGAGCCCAGGCTGGGGGAGACTAACTAAAGCACAGCGTCTTGCACATAGCAGCCACTCAAGCTCTGACCCTCTTCATGCAGTGGAGGGTCCCTTCTGTGCAGCTTTACTCAGCGAGAGTTGCAGGAAGCTGGGGCAGGGACAAAACGAACATTCGTCAACTATGTTAAGGATTTGCTCAGTCTAGAAATAAGATTTTTTTTTTTTGAGACAGTCTCACTTTGTCACCCAGGCTGGAGTGCAGTGGTGGGATCTCGGCTCACTGAAACCTCCGCTTCCCAGGTTCAGGTGATTCTCCTGCCTCAGCCTCCCAAGTGGCTGGGATTACAGGCGTCCGCCACCAAGCCCAGCTGATTTTTGTATTTTTAGTAGAGATGGGGTTTCACCATGCTGGCCAGGCTGGCCTCGAACTTCTGACCTCAAGCGATCCGCCCACCTCGGCCTCCTAAAGTGCTGCTATTACAGGCGTGAGCCACTGCACTCAGCTTAGAAATAAGATTTTTAAAATTTTCATTTTAACATTAAAAATTGCACATTTTCTTTGGGAGGCCGAGGTGGGCAGATCATGAGGTCAGGAGATCGAAACCATCCTGGCTAACACAGTGAAACCCCGTCTCTACTAAAAATACAAAAAATTAGCCAGGCGGCAGCGGGCGCCCGTAATTTTAGCTACTCAGGAGGCTGAGGCAGGAGAATCGCTTGAACCTGGGAGGCAGAGGTTGCAGTGAGCCAAGATTGCGCCACTGCACTCCAGCCTGGGTGACAAAGCGAGACTCCGTCTCAAAAAAAAAGAAAAAGCACACATTTTTATCCACCGTTCGTGGCTGGCAAGTGTTCCTATATAGTTTTTTGGGGTTTTTTTTTTTTGAGATGGAGTCTTGCTCTGTTGCAGTGGTGCAATCTCTGGAGTGCAGTGGTGCGATCTCAGCTCACTGCAATGTCCACCTCCTGGGTTCAAGGGATTCTCCTGCCTCAGCCTCCCAGGTAGCTGGGATTACAGGCGCCCACCACCATGCCTGGCGAATTTTTAGTAGAGACAGGATTTCACCATGTTAGCCAGGCTGTTCTTGAACTCCTGACCTCAAGTGATCCTCCCACCTCGGCCTCCCAAGGTGCTGGGATTACAGGCATGAGCCACTGTGCCCAGCCAGTTCCTATATAATTGAATAAATGAACCACTACTAAGTGCTTAGAGGGGATGGAAATGTTGCTATAAAGACAGAATAAAAGCTAAGTAATTAAAACTTGGCAAAATTCTTCAAAAGCTTTTAAAATCATCTCATCAGATGAACTACTATAAGCTTTATATATGCCTAACAGAAAAAGAATTTTGGTAAATCAGTAAATTTGGTAAAGTCAGTGAATTGGTCATTTGGCAAAATTGGCTTAAAAGACTTTTAGAAATGCTACCTATGGGGAAAACATAAATTAATTTTAAACTGTCTTTAAAGTTAATCATTACAAGATTAAAAATTTCCATGTGAAACACTAAAATTTTTGTTATATTTAGCAGGATACAGTCATAAGAAAACAAAACCATACTAAGATCATTGACTATTTTTTTAGGTCCCCATGAAAGCAGAACCTTGACTATTTTTTAAACTTGCAAATGTAGAGAAAAGTTGCAAAAATAGTGCAATGAATACCCATATATCCTCTACTTCGCCAATTAATGTTTTGCCACATTTGCTTTCTCTCTGTATAGAGGTATTAGTTGTTGTTAGACAATTTGAGAGAAAGTTGCAGGAATTATGACTCTTTAGAATCTATTTCTAAGGGCTGTGTGCAGTGGCTCACACGTGTAATCCCAGCACTTTGGGAGGCTGAGGTGGGCAGGTCACTTGAGGTCAGAAGTTCGAGACCAGCCTGGCCAACATGATGAAACCCCGTCTCTACTAAAAATATAAAAACTAACTGGGCGTGGTGTTGGGCACCTGTAATCCCAGCTACTCGGGAGGCTGAGGCAGGAGAATTGCTTGAACCCAGGAGGCACAGGTTGCAGTGAGCTGAGATTGTGCCACTGCACTCCAGCCTGGGCAACACAGCAAGACTCTGTCTCAAAAAAAAAAGAAAGAGAATATATTTCTAGGGATATTCCTTAACATAACCATGCTAAAATTACCAAGTTTAGAAAATTTAACATTGATGCTGTACTATTATCCAATTATGGTTCATGTTCAAATTTTGCCAATTATACTACAAAATTTCTTTTTCTTTTTCTTTTTTTTTAAGATGGAGTCTTGCCTTGTTGCCCAGGATGGAGTGCAATGGCATGACCTCAGCTCACTGCAACCTCCGCCTCCCAGGTTAAAGAGATTCTCCTGGCTCAGCCTCCCGAGTAGCTGGGATTACAGGCGTCTGCCACCATTCCCAGCTAATTTTTTGTATTTTGTATTTTCAGTGGATCCATGATCCAGCCTGAGTGACAGAGCGAGACTCCATCTCAAAAGAAAAAAAAACAAAAGAAGGGGTTCAGGATTATGAGGGAAAGTAGAGGGATGGGATAGGTAACGCATGGCTAGTGCAGATTATTGTCATGTTTATTAATGGCTTTAAAGAAAATCCAGTACATGTAACTTGAACTTGGACATATGAGAAAAAGCCTGTTTTCCAGCCTTTTTGCTACAATTTTAGTTTTTGGATTTCTTTTTTTTCTCCCCAAGACAGTCTCACTCTGTCACCCAGGGTGGAGTGCAGTGGTACAATCTCAGCTCACTGCAACCTCTACCTCACGGGTTCAAACGATTCTCATGCCTCAGCCACCCAAGTAGCTGGGATTACAGGCGTGTGCCACTACACCCGACTATTTTTTCTTTGTATTTTTAGTAGAGACAGAGTTTCACTATGTTGGCCAGGCTGGTTTCGAACTCCTGGTGTCAAGTGACCCGCCTGCCTGGGCCTCCCAGTGTTGAGATTACAGGCGTGAGCCACCGCTTCTGGCCCCTAGGATTTCCTGATAAAGCTGATTGCCTTTTTTTTTGAAACGGAGTCTCCCTCTGTCGCCCAGGTCTAGCTCTGTCTTCCAGGCTGGAGTGCAGTGGCGTGATCTCTGCTCACTGCAAGCTCCGCCTCCCGGGTTCATCACGCCATTCTCCTGCCTCAGCCTCCGGAGTAGCTGGGACTACAGGCGCCCGCCACCACGCCCGGCTAATTTTTTGTTGTATTTTTAGTAGAGACGGGGTTTCACCGTGTCAGCCAGGATAGTCTCCATCTCCTGACCTCGTGATCTGCCCGCCTTGACCTCCCAAAGTGCTGGGATTACAGGCATGAGCCACCACGCCCGGCCTTTTTTTTTTTTTCTTTTTTCAGACGAAGTCTTGCTCTTATCGCCCAGGCTGGAGTGCAGTAGCACGATCTCGGCTCACTGCAAGCCCTGCCTCCTGGGTTCAAGCCATTCTCCTGCCTCAGCCTCCTGAGTAGCTGGGATTACAGGCGTCTGCCACCATGCCCGGCTAATTTTTTTGTATTTTTTAGTACGCCTGTAATCCCAGCACTTTGGGAGGCCGAAGCCGGCGGATCACCTGAGGTCGGGAGTTCAAGACCGGCCTGACCAACATGGAGAAACCTTGTCCCTACTAAAAAATACAAAATTAGCCGGGCGTGGTGGCGGATGCCTGTAATCCCAGCTGCTCAGGAGGCTGAGGCAGGAGAATCGCTTGAACCCGATCGCGCCATTGCACTCCAGTCTAGCCAACAAGAGTGAAACTCTGTCTCAAAAATAAATAAATAAATAATATAGTGTTAATTTGGGATTATACTGTATGCCAAAAAATAAAGTTCATACATTTATAGAACTAGAAGTAAGGCCAGGTATGGTGCCTCATGCCTGTAATCCCAATACTTTTTGGGTGACTGAGGCAGGAGGACTGCTTGAGCCCAGGAATTTGAGACCAGCTTAGGCAGCACAGTGAGACCCTGTCTCTACCAAAAATTAAAAAAAAAAAAACAAATTAGCTGGGCATAGTGGCACTGCCTGTGGTCCCAGCTACTTGGGAAGCTGAGGTGAGAGGATCCGCTTGAGGAGGTTGAGGCTGCAGTGAACTGTGGCAGCGCTACTGCACCCCAGCCTGGGTGACAGAGCAAGACTGCGTCTCCAAAAGAGAAGAAAGTCACAGAAGGAAGAGAAATCCCAATGAGTAATATTGCCCCTTTCTTAAAGAAGTATAATCGTTTAGTAGGAAAATGAGAAAGTTTGAAAGAGAGTATTTTTTTAACCTAAATGAAATCATAAATGGCTTCAAGAGGCTCTTTCATTTCATTTTTAATTGCCAAAACACTTTTGTCAAGTTTGAAAATACCTAAAAGCCATATATTATTTTAATATAGAGTCATTAGTTTTTCACGGAGTTATTCTTGATCGCTCTTTCTCCCTCACTTGCCACAGTCAGTCCTTTATAGAGTAGTGCTGATTCTGTTGCCTTCACATTGCTGTAATCTGAGCCTCCTTGTTCTCTTCAACCGCTGCTGTAGTTTAAGCCTGGGTTTGCAAACTAGCAACTCAAGGGCCACCTTCAGCCTACAGACAAGCTGTGTTTGGCCTGTGCAAAGTTGAAAGTTTAAAAAATTTGTTGCCAACGTTTAAAAATTTGGAAGTAGTGCTTAAAAATGCAGATCCTAGCTTCTTTTAAAAAATCAAAATATCATAGCTAGGTGTGGTGGCTCGCACCTGTAGTCCCAGCTATTCAGGAGGCTGAGGAAGGAGGACTGCTTGAGCCCAGGAGTTCCAGGCTGCAGGGAGCTATGATTGCGCCACTGCACCCCAGCCTGGGCGACAGAGAGAGACCCCGTCTTTGAAAAAGAAAAAAGAGAAACCAGAGTATCTGGCAACCCTAGGCCCACGTTTCTTTCAACTGGTTCGCTTCACTTCTTAGCATTACTTGGTTATCCCCCATAAGGATGACCAGTCTCCTATCTAGCCTTCCACCGTTACCTCAATATAGTATTATATCTGCCCCATCTCCTGTCCACATTGTCAAAAGTGGCTTTCTCATCAGATTCGATCAAATCACTTCTTGATTTGCATATGCTTGATTTGCTGATTGTTTTCAGGATAAAATCCAAACTCCTTAAAATGGCATTTCATGATCTGGTTTCCCCACACCAGAATGCCCACACCATGCTGCTGCTCACTCCTTCCCAGCTCTGGCTACCCAGCACCTGCAGTTCCCAAGCCAGCACTTCCTTCCTTGTATCTGCCGTGTTGCTCTCTCCACCTTCTCTTCTTTCTCCTGGCTAACCCGTACTCAGCCTTGAAAACTCTGCGTTGACATCCATCTTCCGAGAGCCCCCAGAAGCCTTTCTCTCCTGCTCTTTTATGATCCCAAAGCAACCTGTGCTCTTGTTTGTGAGCGCTTCATTTAAATGCTCGAGGTCTCCAAACACCACCAGCGGACATTAAGCCAGGGCGGGCTGAGTGGGGTTAATCGTACCGGGATTAGATTAGCGTTATTGCCTAGTCTACATCTCGGACTGAGTTCGGTCCCCAGCGTGTAATGTCACGGGGGTGAATAAGGATACGCCCCGGCACGGATTCCTGAGACCAAGGTCCCCCGCCGCTTGCAAGCCGGCCCAGCCAACCACCGGGTGCGTAGTAATCCACGAGCGCGGCCTGGGATTGGAGGGCGCGGCCTGCGGGAGCGGCCTGGGATTGGAGGGCGCGGCTTGCGGGAGCGGCCTGCCGTTGGAGGGGCGCGGTCTGCGAGCGCGGCCTGGGATTGGAGGACGCGTCCTGCGGGAGCGGCCTAGCCTCGGAGTGCTCGCCGGGGGCTGTAGTCCCCGGAGCCGGAAGTGGGGGTGGCCGGGATAGAAGCCGCAGCCCAGGCGGCGGTCCCTCCCGCTGTCGCCGCCCGGGTGTAGCGCATCACCCGGAGCCCACCGGCCGCAGGTGCCTCCTCCGGCCCCAGGGGGCCCCGGGAGCCCTGAAGGGCGAAGCGGCAGGGACGCCTCTCTTGGGCGAAGAGGCGGCCTCACCGCCCCGGATGCGGCCGGAGGGCGCGGGAATGGAGCTCGGAGGCGGCGAGGAGCGCCTGCCTGAGGAGAGCAGGTGGGCTGGGAGCCGCCGCGGAGTCGGGGCAGCGACAGGCGCCGGAGCCCCGGGAGGCTTGGGAGGGCGCGGGGTCACGGAGAGAAGGGCCGGGCGCGACGAGTCTTGAGGACGACGGCTGCGGAGGACTTGTTTGGGAAGCATTTCGCAGAGGAAGGACGGGCGGGGCGGGGATGGGACGAAGGAACCGGCTTAGGGTGAGGAGGGTGGGTGGGATTTGCGGAGGGCAAGGGCAGCAGAGGAGGGTGAAGCTCAGATCCAAGACTGCTGGAGAGGAGGTGGCAGCTGAGAGACTGGGCGAAGAGGCCAGAGGGGTGCAGTGAGGTTTTACAGGCCAGAGTCTATAGACAGGGGCAGGGCACCACCCGGACTGAAACTTGCCGTGACAGCAAGTGGGGCCAACGCGAAGAGGATGTGAGAATTCCTGGGAGCAGAGGTGAAGCGTTATGAGTGGCCTCGGAAGAAGCTTAGGCAGAGATGAGCATGGGGATGAAGGCGAGGAGAGCCTGGGGAGAAAGTGAGCGAGTGTCATGGCAGTGCGGTGGGGCGGGGACTGCTAATGAGACCAGAAACTCTGCACTTTGTCATTGCCGAATCCCTGTCAGAGAGTGGCAGGACCTCTGTGCCATTTCCTTTTCGTCTTCAAACCTGTCCCTTTTTCCTCACAATGCAAACTAAGCAAGTTCACATTTATTTATATGGAACCATGTCAGAAAGCTCATATCTTCTAGAAATTGGGGGATTTAAAATATAAAAACTACTTTGGACCGGGTGCGGTGCCTCACACCTGTAATTCCAGCACCTTGGGGGAGGCTGAGGCGGGTCGCTTGAGTCCAGGAGTTTGAGACCAGCCTGGGTAACCTAGGGAGATCCCCGTCTCTACAAAAATACAAAAATTAGCTCGGCGTGGTGGTGCTCACCTGTGGTGCCAGCTACTCGGGAGGCTGAGGCGAGAGGATCACTTGAGTCCAATAAGTCGAGGCTGCATTGAGCCGAGATCGCACCACTACACTCCAGCCTGGGTGACAGAGGAAGACCCTGTCTTCAAAAAACAAAAAGCCAAAGAAACCCCGAACTACTTTGACTAAATGATGAATCGGAGTCTGTAGAGATGCCTTCCATATTTAGGGTTTGCTTCATTAATAACTCTGGTCTTAATCTTTTTTAAAGAGGCTGGAATGCTGACAGGCGAGAGCAGGAATGTGGCTTAAGGGAGTCATACTTGACATTTATTATTTTATTTTTATTTTATTTTTTGAGACACAGCCTCACCCTGTCCCCCAGGCTGAGCGCAGTGCCGTGAACACGGCTCACTGCAGCCTCCAACTCTTGGGCTCAAGCGATTATACTAGCTCAGCTTCCCAAGTAGCTGGGGATATAGGTGCCAGCTACCACATCTGGCTACTTTAAAAAACTTTTTTGTAGAGACAGGGTCTCACCATATTGCCCAGGCTGGTCTCTAACTCCTGGGCTCAAGCAATTCTCCCCCGCCACGTCGGCCTCCCAAAGTGCTGGAATTAACAGGTGTGAGCCACCAGGCCTGACCTCACTTGACATTTAGAAACAGTTTCAGATATAATGATGGTCTCAGGAGCAGCTGGGATCCAAAAACTAGAAGCAGAATATTTACCTCTGAGAAAATATCAACAAGGGAAGATTTATGAGATGTTCCTGGGTGAAGACTTGCTATTTTTAAGGGTGACTCTACTTTTATGTGCAAAGTGGCCTGTTGAACAAAACCTGGACTGACAGGACTTTGGGGCTCCTGCCTGAGATCTGAGAATGATTTGTGCTAAGTGAAACTGAACATCTTACTTCCCTTTTCCATGTTTCAGTTTCTGCTTTGCCTATTTGACTATTTATTCTTCCTGCAGATGTCTGTGACGTGCTTCGTGTGAAAGGTCCCATGTAAATTCTAAACACGTTTTAGGATTGTTTTGATTTCCCTCTACCACTTCATGTGAGGGAGGCTGGGTTAGTTATTTTTTTAATGTATGTAACAAATGCTATTTACCACATGCCAGGAATTGTTTTAAGGTATTAAGATATGAATACTGCGTTAACTTCTTTAATCCCTATAACTATTGTATGTGGTCGGTACTACTGTTATTGCTGTGTCACAGATGAGAAAGCTGAGAAATGGACAGGGTAAGTAACTTGCCAAGGTTGTACAGCGAATCCCTGGCAGAACTGGATTCAAACCCAGGCAGTTCGGCACCAGAGTCTGCGCTTTTTTTTTTTTTTCTTTTTTTAGACAGGGTCTCACTATGTTGCCTAGGCTGGTCTCAAACTCCTGGGCTCAAGATATTCTCCAGCCTCGGCCTCTCAAAAGTGCTGAGGTTACAGGCATGAGCGACCATGCCGGCCCAAGAGACTGCACTTTTTTTTTTTTTTTTTTGAGATAGAGTCTTGCTCTGTCGCCAAGGCTGGAGTGCAGTGGCACCGTCTTGCTTCACTACAACCTCTGCCTCCCAGGTTCAAACAATTCTCCTGCCTCAGCCTCCCAAGTAGCTGGGATTACAGGTGCCCGCCACCACGCCCAGCTAATTTTTTGTATTTTTAGTAGAGACGGGGTTTCGCCATGTTGGCCAGGCTGGTCTCAAACTCCTGACCTCAGAGGATCTACCAGCCTCCGCCTCCCAAAGTGCTGGGATTACAAGCGTGAACCACCGTGCCCGGCCCGAGTCTGTACTTTTAATACTCACCCTATGCTGCCTCTCACTATGCTAATAGTAACAACGGAAGTATAAGATAGTGAATAAATTTCACAGCATTCTGTGCCTGTCATTCAGGCCAGTAGGATAGCTCCTTTGCAGAATCTTTTCCCGTCTTTTATTCTTTTTATGATTGCCTCTTAACCAAAAAACTTTAATCAAAACTTAATTTTAGTAGTGGGGTTATCCTCACAAAGTCACTCCCGTCATTGTTATAGGCATACTGTGTTGGCGGCTGATTAATTCAGAATGCGTTGTTTAATGAGGCTTCATGGTACTGATGGCCTCCTTAGCTCCAGATACACAACTGGTAAATACACATTCCTTGTGCCTATTAATTGAGGCTTTGTGACTGGGTTACTGCAAACATAACCTTTCTATGGCCAATGAAATACCCAGTTCAGAAACAGTCTTCTTGATGAGATAGCATCATTTTTATTTATTTATTTATATATTTTAAAGATAGGGTCTCACTGTGTCACTCAGGCTGGAGTACAATAGTGCAATCGTAGCTCACTGCAGCCTCAAACTCCTGGGCTCAGGTGATCTTCCCACCTCAGCCTCCTCAGTAGCTAGGACTACAGGTGTGTGCCACCACTCCCAGCTAATTTTTAATTTTTTCAGATTTTTTGTAGTGACAGAGTCTCACCATGTTGCCTAGGCCAGTCTCAAACTCCTGGCCTCAAGGGATCTTGCTGCCTTGGCCTCCCAGAGCACTGGGATTACAAGCATGAGCCACTGTGCCCAGCCGGTAGTGTCATTTTAAAAATGAAGGATGAAACTTTTCAGTGTATTTTCCTTAAGTAGTTGATATAATGAAACGTGAATAAGCTTTAAAGTCAGACCTGCATTTGAATCCTAGTTCACGGATTAATTTGGCTTAACTTGATCAAGTTACTTTACGTAACCTGCCTGAGTAGGAAGAATAATGCTTTCCTGCCTGAGAAGTTCTGAGGATTCAATAAAACAATGTGCATAAAGCTCCTGAGAGCCTGATACGTAGGAAGTAGGAAAAATGTCGAATCCACCCCTTGCTAGTTTTTTTGAAATAAGGCGAGGGTCTCCCCCACAAGTGACTGTTTGCAAGGGTATCACTTGTTCTTCCTCTTTCAGTGGCTCCTTCATCCGAGTTGAACACATTGGGACCTAGAGTGTTGGCTTAGCTTCCCACTTCCCCGGTAGTGTGCTTAGGTGATGGGCTTCCCTATTGTTTTCCGTCTAGCTATCACTCCAGCCAGATGCTCTGGGGCTTAGGGATGATACTTCACTTTCCCTCCGTTTCCTAAATGCCAGTTATTTTGAGGTTGCCTGGTAAAACTACTACACTACACTGGGCACGGTGGCTCACGCCTGTAATCCCAACACTTTGGGAGGCCAAGGTGGGTGGATCACGAGGTCAGGAGATCGAGACCATCCTGGCTAACACAGTGAAACCCCGTCTCTACTAAAAATACAAAAAATTAGCCAGGCGTGGTGGCAGGCGCCTGTAGTCCCAGCTACTGGGGAGGTTGAGGCAGGAGAATGGCGTGAACCCGGGAGGCGGAGCTTGCAGTGAGCCGAGATCACGCCACTGCACTCCAGCCTGGGAGACAGAGTGAGACTCGTCTCAAAAATACCCAAACTACTAGACTGGTAAACTGCTAAAGGAATGGTCTTTCTGGCATTGCTCTGTCTCCCTAGACCGCCTTGGCCATGCAGTGTACTGTCTCCCTAGACTGCCTTGGCCATGCAGTCTACTGCTGAGCTTGCAGCTCAGGTACATGTACTGCTCAGTGCTCCTGGCACCGTGATCCAGGTACAGTCAGAATTCAAGGAGTAAGATCCGTTTTAGCATCTCCAAACTAAGCTTATTCCACTGACCAAAACCTGCCCCTCCTCTGATCTCTGTTAATAGCATTTTCCACTCACTCAACATGCCAGAGCGTCAGAGTGACATTTGACATTTCGCTCTTCTCTATTTCCCATATGTAAGCAGTCACCAGGGTCTAAAATTCTGTTCCTAATTTTTCTTTTGAAGCCTTCTTTTTCTCTCCATTTCCAAATATAATGGCTTATAGTACTAAAAAATCTAGGGTGACTGGGAAGTGAGGAGCCACTCTGCCCGGCCAGCCGCCCTGTCCCGGAGGGAGGTGGGGGGGTCAGCCCCCCGCCCGGCCAGCCGCCCCATCCGGGAGGGAGGTGGGGGGGTCAGCCCCCCGCCCGGCCAGTCGCCCCATCCGGGAAGTGAGGGGCGCCTCTGCCCGGCTGCCCCTACTGGGAAGTGAGGAGCCCCTCTGCCCGGCCAGCCGCCCCGTCCGGGAGGGAGGTGGGGGGGTCAGGCCCCGCCCGGCCAGCCGCCCCATCCGGGAGGTGAGGGGCGCCTCTGCCCGGTCGCGCCTACTGGGAAGTGAGGAGCCCCTCTGCCCAGCCACCACCCCGTCTGGGAGGTGTACCCAACAGCTCATTGAGAACGGGCCATGATGACAATGGCGGTTTTGTAGAATAGAAACGGGGGAAAGGTGGGGAAAAGATTGAGAAATCGGATGGTTGCCGTGTCTGTGTGGAAAGAGGTAGACATGGGAGACTTTTCATTTTGTTCTGTACTAAGAAAAATTCTTCTGCCTTGGGATCCTGTTGATCGGTGACGTTACCCCCAACCCTGTGCTCTCTGAAACATGTGCTGTATCCACTCAGGGTTGAATGGATTGAGGGTGGTGCAAGATGTGCTTTGTTAAACAGATGCTTGAAGGCAGCATGCTCCTTAAGAGTCATCACCACTCCCTAATCTCAAGTACCCAGGGACACAAACACTGCGGAAGGCCGCAGGGTCCTCTGCCTAGGAAAACCGGAGACCTTTGTTCACTTGTTTATCTGCTGACCTTCCCTCCACTATTGTCCTGTGACCCTGCCAAATCCCCCTCTGCGAGAAACACCCAAGAATGATCAATAAAAACAAAAACAAAAACAAAAAACCTCTAGTTAACACATAATAATGCCCGCACTGAGCAGATGTTCACTAAGGTGTTGAATAAATAGTTGAAACTGTAAAAAAAAAAAAAAAAAAAAAAAAAAAAAAGATGCTTTTAAAATATGAAAAAAAAAGATATTTTAATGAGAAAAGCTGAGTGTTGGGAGAGAAGCTGATGCAGGGCTTGCATGTCTGCTAGACTTGCTGGCTCCTTGCTTCTAGCACTCCCATTATCTCAAGCAGCCATATGTTTCTCATTCACTTGATACACTGTTTCCTTTCAACCCCCACATCCTCACCACCTGTTTCTTTGTTTGATCATCAATAAATGGTGTGGGCTCCCAGAGCTCCGGGCCTTGGCACAGCATCCACACTCGTGATGGCCCCCTGGTCCCACTTTCTCTCTCAAAAAAAAAAAAAAAAAATCTAGGGTGTACTGTTGCTTCAGAAATGCCCAAATATGGGTGTTCAAATTAAGAATTTGTCTCTGTCTCTGGGCTCTGCTTCCAGATGTGTTGTTTTCATTCTCAGGTAGACTATTCTACAGGTTACCATAGCAACTCCAAGCTTAGCAATACCAGCAACAAGAAAGATGCAGTCCCAGCAGCTCCAGCAAAAGCAAAAATCCCGGGGCTGACTCTTTTTGGACTGACTTGAGTTATGTTTCTGTTCTTGTGGTCGGGGTATGGGCTATTCTGCTTAGTCAGGCCTAAGTTATGTGCCCAACCCTGGATCCTAAGGGAGGGTGAGATCTTGGAACCTCATGGACCAGAGTAAGTAGTAGAGAGGTGGTTCCTCAGTGGAAAATCAGGGTTCTCTTACCAAAATAAAGGGACAAATTCTGGGCAGATATAAAGTTTATTCACTGTAGACCCATATAATCTCTTCTTGGGGATTACCTCAGTAGCTTCTTAACTAATCTTCCAACCTGAATTTAGTCCCAATTCCAGATAGCCTCACCCTGCTACTAGTTTAATTTTTCAGAAACAAAGCTACTATAATATTTTACTCAGGGATGTTCAGTGATTGGCTGGATTTGGTGGCTCATGCCTGTCATCCCAGCTCACCCTGCTACTAGTTTAATTTTTCAGAAACAAAGCTACTATAATATTTTACTCAGGGATGTTCAGTGATTGGCTGGATTTGGTGGCTCATGCCTGTCATCCCAGCACTTTGGGAGGCTGAGGTGGGTGGGTCACCTGAGGTCAGGAGCTCAAGACCAGCCTGGTCAACATGGCAAAATGCTGTCTCTACTAAAAATACAAAAAATTAGCCAGATGTGGTTGTGCACCCCTGTAATCCCAGCTACTCAGGAGGCTAGGCAGGAGAATTGCTTGAACCTGGTAGGCGGAGGTTGCAGTGAGCCCAGGTGATGCCACTGCACTCCACCCTGGGCAACAGATCGAGACTGTCTCAAAAAACAGAACAAAACAAAAGCAGGGGCCGGACGCGGTGGCTCACGCCTGTAATCCCAGCACTTTGGGAGGCCGAGGCAGGCGGATCACAAGGTCAGGAGATCGAGACCATCCTGGCCAACATGGTGAAACCCCGTCTCTACTAAAAATACAAAAAAATTAGCCGGGCGTGGTGGCGGGCGCCTGTAGTCCCAGCTACTTGGGAGGCTGAGGCAGGAGAATGGCGTGAGCCCGGGAGGCAGAACTTGTAGTGAGCCGAGATCGCGCCGCTGCACTCCAGGCTGGGCGACAGAGCGAGACTCCGTCTCAAAAACAACAAACAAAACAAAACAAAAAAAACAAAAGCAATGTTCAGTGGTTTTCCCATTGAAAACAGAATATTTTCCATGTCAAAACTCCTCACCCTGGTATTGAATCTTTTTTTTTTTTTTTTGAGACGGAGTCTCGCTCTGTTGCCCAGGCCAGAAAGCAGTAGCACAATCTCGGCTCACTGCAAGCTCCGCCTCCCGGGTTCACGCCATTCTCCTGACCTCGTGATCCGCCCGCCTCGGCCTCCCAAAGTGCTGGGATTACAGGCGTGAGCCACCGCGCCCGGCCTGAATCTTTCTGTTAGTACTTAATGAAGTTTCCAATTACAAAACCATGGCACACTCACCCACTCTCACATCTTTCTTGCCATTCTCATTCTTGCTTTTCTACACTCACTGCAATACCTCCCTCTTTGCCTGGAGAGCTCTTAGTCGTCCCTTAAATGACGCTCCTTTAGAAGGCACCCCTCTCTGTTAGAGCACATCTGACATCTCCCTTCATAGCATGGTTATGTAAGTGTCCATTTCCCCCATTACGTTCTGAATTCTCTGACAGATGGGACTCTTCCTCTTTAACCGCTATAACGCTTCTTTAAGCACCAGTGCCTAGCCCAGTGCCTGACATATAGTTGGTGTTCAGTGAATATTTGTTTGAGGAATGAAGACATTAACGTTGTGGTCATCCCTCTTACAGATGGGCAGATGCTAGTGGAACTGTTGTCATTGGAAGTGCCACTTTCTTCGCATTTCTCCTATTCATTTTCACTTTTTCACGTTTTTATATTTCCTGTTTTCTTTCTTTCCCGTCCCTGTTTGATTATTCTAGGAGTTAACAGTTTACATAGAGCTAGTAGCAAAGCAGGATGATCACATGATTTTAAAGGAAACTAGCAATTGCTAGTTCGATTTTTAGTACAAAAATTACAGAAACATACCCTTGAAGCTTTTGGGGAAGCTGCTGTTGTCAGAACCCAGGAGGGGACTGCAAGGACTCTAAGCCTGAAGCTTTTCCTCTCCCCACAGCTGTTTTTGTTTTTTGAAGGGTTCTCACATTGTTGCCCAGGCTAGACTTGAACTTTTGAAGTCAGGCAATCCTCCTGCCTCAGCCTCCTGAGGAGCTGGGACTACAGGCATGTGCCACTGTGCCCAGCATAGGTCAGGCAGTCCTCCTGCTTCAGCCTCCTGAGGAGCTGGGACTACAGGCATGTGCCACTGTGCCCAGCATAGGTCAGGCAGTCCTCCTGCTTCAGCCTCCTGAGGAGCTGGGACTACAGGCATGTACCGCTGTGCCCAGCGTGCCTTTTACCTTTAAATCATCTACCTGAAACTGAAAAGACTGAAACACTTTGTCTTTCCTCCCGTGCCATTGCTATTAAAGTGGTGTTGTGTGCCTGCTTTACCTTGTTTGTAAAGCATTCTGCTACCTAGACAGTATAACATGAGCCTGGTGAAGTAATAAGATTGTCTTTCTTATATGTCTCATGAAATCAGCCTTATTGTGCCGCAGTAACACCTTGACAGTTTCTTCCATTCCGTCAAGCAGATTTAAGTCTTTACCATATAAAAGTCATATCCAGTATTTGAGGAAGTCCTTCCTAGCTTTCCTACTTCAGTGAGAGGACCAACAGCATCAACAGGGCCTTGCAATCCATGCTTACCTGCAGACCTGACCTTGGTTTAAACGCAGTGGAGATACTGTTTGGATGTGGAACACTGTAACCAAACTTCATTATGCTGCAGACTGTCCAATCCTTTACAATTTTTGGCAGAATTTTCTTTTTAAGCAGAATGGGTAAGAAGGCTTTATTCTAGGTACCCTTCCTGATTTTGTTGGATTTATTAGATTTATGCAATGGAAGTTCACAGGGGGAAAATGGCAGAGAAAAGAGAATATTATTCTCTGCTCTATGATAATGCTTCCCCTAGATTGTCAGTTACACCCTCCTCTGTGAAGCAATTGTTGTCTCCATTTTACAGTGAGGGAATTGAAGCTTCAAGAGTTTAAATGGCTTGGTCAAGAATGTGGATCTAGGCCAGGTGAGGTGGCTCACGCCTGTAATCCCAGCACTTTGGGAGGCTGAGGCAGGCAGATCACTTGAAGTCAAGAGTTCGAGACCAGCCTGGCCAACATGGTGAAACCCCATTTCTACTAAAAATACAAAAATTAGCTGGGCATGGTGTCAGGCACCTGTAATCTCAGCTACTTGGGAGGCTGAGGCAGGAGAATCATTTGAACCCGGGAGGCGGAGGTTGCAGTGAGCTGAGATCGCACCACTGCCCTCCAGCCTGGGCGACAGAGCAAAACTCAGTCTCAAAAAAAAAAAAAAAAATAGAATGTGCATCTAGTTTGTGAGCAGCTAAGATTCAAATTCAAATTCAGTTTAAATGACTATGATGTCTATTTTCTTTCTACTGGGTGACATTTTCTTCCTGCTTATTAAAATACAAAAGATCTGTAATCCCAGCACTTTGGGAGGCTGAGGCGGGCGGATCATGAGGTCAGGAGTTTGAGACCAGCCTGACCAACATGGTGAAACCCCGTCTCTACTAAAAAATACAAAAATTAGCTGGGTTTGGTGGTGGGTGCCTGTAATCCCCAGCTACTCAGGAGGCTGAGGCAGGAGAATCGCTTGAACCCAGGAGGCAGAGGTTGCAGTGAGCCAAGATCGCACCACTGCCCTCCAGCCTGGGTGACAGAGCGAGACTCTGTCTCAGAAATAAAATAGGCTGGACGCGGTGGCTCACGCCTGTAATCCCAGCACTTTGGGAGGTCGAGGCGGGTGGATCACGAGGTCAGGAGATCGAGACCATCCTGGCTAACACAGTGAAACCCCGTCTCTACTAAAAATACAAAAAATTAGCCAGGCATGGTGGCGGGCACCTGTAGTCCCAGCTACCTGGGAGGCTGAGGCAGGAGAATGGTGTGAACCCAGGAGGCAGAGCTTGCAGTGAACCGAGATCACGCCACTGCACTCCAGCCTGGGCGACAGAGCGAGACTCCGTCTCAAAAAATAAAAATAAAAATAAAAAATAAAATAAAATAAAATACAAAAGAAATAGAAGATACATAGTCCCTTTCCTTCAGGAAACAAGCTATGTAATATTAAACAACAGTCTTAAAGTATTTTTAGAAGGAATGGTATAGCGACATCATACGCTTTTGGAGTTCTAATAAAGGAGCTATAGTGGGTCAGATTATTTAGAACCTTTTTAGAGAAAGTTGAATTAGAGCTGGACCTGAATCCCTGAATGGGGTGAGAACAGGCATTCCAGGTGGAGAGCTCTGCATGAATAAGATCATGGCAGTAGAGTGAGGTTGGCATGTTTGTAATAGTGTGTGATGAGGTCCCCGTACCTAACCTGAGGAGTACTGGGCAGCAAAGTTGGTATTTAGATTGGGGCCAATGATGGAGAATTTTTCACCTCCATGCTAAGGAGTTTGTTGGTGGTTAGGTTTCTGACATAAGGGATTTTTCATCCGTATGTTAAATCCACTGATTGTTGAAATTCAATGCATTTGATGTTACTCAGGTGTTAAATAGGTGTCGAATTACAAAGCATACCTACAGGTACTGCTTATTCCCTCCTGTACATTAAGATTCTCCTTTGGCTGCGTGCAGTGGCTCACGTCTGTAATCCTAGCACTTTAGGAGGCCGAGGCAGATGGTTGCTTGAGCCCAAGAGTTTGAGACCAATCTCAGCAACATAGTAAGACTCTGGTCTCTACAAAAAAAAAAAAAAAAAAAAAAAGATTCTCCTGTCAGCCATGAAATGTATGGGACTGGCCGATGGTTACATTCTCCCAGGTGCCCCAGAGCTGAGAGACTATATAAGAGAGTCAAGTATGTTTTTCCTATAAGCATGTTATTTATTTAAAGCATATTATTTATGTAAAAAGGAGCACATTCAACTACACAGCCTGCAAGTTAAATACTAGATAATTAAAAACAGCAAATATATGGCCAGATAAGAAGAAACATTAAACACACATGTGATAGTCTCTCGCTACCTCAGTGTTACCAATAATTATTTCACTTAATTATATTTTTTCTACCTGAAGGAGGAACCCATTACCTCTTTCCAGGAAGTACTTTCTGGCATTAAAAGTCCCAGGGACACTTGCCTGACCACAGTCTTCCAACTTCGAAGCCCTTGATACTGAGTATTTTAAAAATCCTTTATGGTACTTTCCAGCTTCTGGTTTGTTCAGATTATTGATCCTTTCTTTGTGGGGAGGGATTTTTTTAGTTTTTTTGTAGAGACGAGATTTTGCATGTTGGCCAGGCTGGTCTTGAACTCCTGAGCTCAAGCAATGCACCTGCCTCAGCCTCCCAAAGTGCTGGGGTTACAGGCGTGAGCCACCACACCCAGTCTACTGATCCTCTATTAATCGCTAGTCTCAGGAAAGCCCTAAACAATTCTGCTCTTCTCTACAGTTCCCCCATATTACTAAAGGTAACCACTATTAACGTATTATTTCTTTTCATATTTTTATGTTGAGATCGTAAATCTAATTTTACATTCTGCTTTTTATACTTTAATATGCTATAATTAGCTTTAGAAACTTTTTGGTCAAAAGTTTTCATTCTTCATGGTATTCCATCATGTGGATGTCACATCTTTCTTCCTCCACTTTGGGGATCAAATCATTACCTGACTTGGGACAACCTGACTTTCAGCTGTGATCCATGGGCCTGTCCCAGATAAAGAGCTCACTGTGGAAGGGACATGCCAGTAAGCTGAAGCTGTTTCCTTTACCACTAAAAAGAGTATTTGGGGATTGAAGATAGACCAGTATCTATTTCTTACCTTGAATCACACTTTGCAATTGCATAGTACTTTCACTTATTTACTATTTATTATATATTTCATATATATCACATATAAGATACTCACATGTCATGTTTTTAGTGATTATGTTTTAGTTATGTATTAGTTATATAGTGTAATACTTTACAGAGTTTTGTAGCTTTTTACTTTAATCTTGAGTGTTACTTATTATAACATACTTATTATAACATGGTGAGCTTAAGACTGAGTTGGCATCTAGGAAAACTGGTTTTCCCCAGATATACTTATTTGGGTCACTTAAGCAATTTCTGTTCCTCTTTAAAGGAGGGATGTGGTCAAGATCCTCCCAGAAGAAGGTAGTTGGTATTTTATTCTGAGATTGGCTTCGTTGTGAGTTGATGAAAATGATTTATGTAGGGATGGGTTATACTCTCCCTTGCCACTTAGGCCGCCCCCCAGGTTCAAGCAATTCTCCTGCCTCAGCCTCTCGAGTAGCTGGGATTACAGGCATGTGCCACCACGCCTGGCTAATTTTTATATTTTTTTAGTAGAGAACGGGGTTTTTCCATGTTGGTCAGGTTGGTCTCGAACTCCTGACCTCAGGTGATCTGCCTGCCTCAGCCCCTCAAAGTGCTGGGATTACAGGCGTGAGCCACTGCGCCTGGCTGGGAAAGGATATTTTATTTCTCCATTGTGATCTGTTTACTTGCATCTAAGATTCAGGCATAATGGTTTAATCAAACCAGTGTGTATGAGCTTCAGTTGAATTTAGTATTTCAACTCTCTGATATTGATAATTATATCATTAGGATAAACGATCCTAAAAAGATGAAGACACTAAAGAGATAGGCAATATAAAAATATGTAAAATGGGACTTCAAAAATTCCAGATTTGGGGAGGAATGGAGTTAAAGTATAGGTTTTGTTTGTTTCTTCCTTTTCCTATCTTTATGATCAAACTTAAGTCACTGTCAGTTTAAAATAACTTTTTATGGGCCTGGCATGGTGGCTCACACCTGTAATCCCAGCACTTTGGGAGGCTGAGGTGGGCAGGTCACTTGAGGTCAAGAGTTTGAGACTGGCCTGGCCAACATAGTGAAACCCCGTCTCTACTAAAAATACAAATATTAGCTGGGTGTGGTGGCAGGTGCCTGTAACTCTAATTCCAACTACTCAGGAGGCTGAGGCACGAGAATCGGGTGAACCCAGGAGATGGTGGTTGCAGTGAGCTGAGATCATGCTACTGCAGTCCTGCCTGGGTGAGAGTGAGACTATGTCTCAAGAAAAAAAAGAAAATTAAAAATAAATAAAATAACTTTTTATAACTACAAAATGTGTTTTGTAAGCCTCATGCTGACTACAAAGCAAAAACCTATGACACACCAAAATTGAAAAGCAAGGAATCAAAGCACACTACTAGAGAAAATCAAGTGCCACAACAGAAGACAGTAACAGAAAGAAAGGAACTGTAAAAAAACTAGAAAACAAGTAACAGACCTTACTTATCGATAATTACCTTAAATGTAAATGGGTTAAATTCTCCAAATAAAAGACAGTGACTCAATGAATTTTTAAAAACCTTCCAAATAAGCCCCAACCGTATGCTGCTTCCAAGAATCTCACTTCACATGTGAGGACATACATAGACTTAAAGGGATGGAAAAAGATGCTCTATGCAAATGGAAACCAAAAGACAGCAGGAGTAGCTATACTTATATCAGAGAAAATAGACTTCAAATCCAAAGTTGTGAAAAGAGTCAATATCATTATGTAATGATAAAGAGTCAATTCAGCAAAAGGATATAACAGTTGTGTGTGTGTGTGTGTTTATATATTAAGGTGCTCCCATGTTGGATGCCTGTATATATGCATGCATGCATCCAACATGGGAGCACCTTAAATATGTAAAGTGAATATTAGTAGACCTAGATGGGGAGAGAAAGTCTGATACAGTAACAGTCGAAAACTCTGATACCCCACTTTCAGCAATGGACAGATCATGCAGACAGAAAATCAACAAAGAAACAGCAGTGTTAAACTATATCCTAGACTAAATGGACCTAACAGACATCTACAGAACATTCTACTCAATAGCTGCAGGATACACATTCTTCTCAGCAGCACATGGAACCATCTCCAGGATATATGATATCATATGGTAGGCCACAAAACAGGTCTCAACAAACTTTTAAAAACTGAAATCATACCAAGTATTTTTTCTTTTTTCTTTCTTTTTTTTTTTGAAATGGGGTCTCACTCTGTCACCCAGGCTGGAGTGCAGTGGTGCAATCCCAGCTCCACCTTTGCCTCCTGGGTTCAAGCAATTCTCCTGCCTCAGCCTCCTGTGTAGCTGGGATTACATGCACGCACCACCACACCTGGCTAATTTTTTTTTGTATTTTTAGTAGAGATGGGGTTTCGCCATGTTGACCAGGCTGGTCTTGACCTCCTGACCTCAAGTGATCCGCCCACCTCGGACTCCCAAAGTGCTGGGATTACAGGCATGAGCCACCGCACCCGGCCATTCAAGTATCTTTTGTGACTACAGTGCAATACAACTAGAAATCAATAACAAGAACAACTTAGGAAACTATACAAATATGTGGAAATTAAACAACATGCTCCTGAACAACCAGTTGGTCAATGAAGAATTAAGAAGGAATTAGAAAATTTATTGAGACAAATGACAGTGGAAACACAACATACCAAAAACAGTGGGATACTGCAAAAGTAGTACTAAGAGGGAAGAAAATAGCAATTAACATCTATATCAAAAAGTAGAAAGAGCTCAACCTAATGTTGCACCTCAAGAAACTAGAAAACCAGGACAAACCAAACCCAGAATTAGTAGAAGGAAAGAAATAATAAAGATCAGAGCAGAAATAAATGAAATAGAGAATGAAAAAATATATATATAAAAGATTAACAAAAGAGTTGTTTGTTTCAGAAGATAAAATTAACAAACCTTTAGCTAGACCAAGGGGGAAAAAAGACTCAAATAAATAAAATCAGAGAGAAAAAGGAGACATTGCAACTGACAGCACAGAACTATGAAGAATCACTAGAGGCTGTTATGGGTAACTGTGCCAACAAATTGGAAAACCTAGAAGAAGTGAAGAAATTTGTGGACACATACAGCTTACCGACACTGAATCATGACAAAACAGAAAACCTGGACACACCAATAATGAGTAATGAGATGGAATCGGTAATGAGTCTCCTATCAAAGAGAAGCCCAGGGCCCGATGTTGTCACTGCCGAATTCTACCACAACTTCAAGGAAGAACTAATACCAATTCTTCCCAAATTATTCCACAAAATCGAAGGAGAGAGAATTCCTCCAAACTCATTCTACAAGGCCAACATTATCATGATACCAAAGCTACAGAGGGGCACAAGAGGAAAAACTACAGGCTAGTACCCCCGATGAGTATAGCTACAGAAATCCTTCACAAAATACTAGCAAACCAAATCTAATCGCTGCACATTAAAAAAAAATCAGAAGATAGCCGGTGTCGGTGAGGATGGGGAGAAAAGGGAACCCTTACACGCTGCTGGTGGGAATGTAAGTTAGTACAGCCATTATGCGACACAGTCTGGAGGTTCCTCAAAAAGTTAAAAATAGAACTACTGTGTGATCAAGCAATCCCAATACTGAGTATATATCCAGGGGAAACACAATCGGTGTATCAAAGCGATACCTGCACTCCTCTATTTATTGCAGTGCTATTCATGATAGCCAAGGTATGAAATCAACTTAAATGTCCATCAACAGCCAGGCGCGGTGGCTCACTCCTGTAATCCCAGCACTTTGGGAGGCCGAGGTGCACAGATCATGTGAGCCCAGGAGTTTGAGACCAGTCTGGCCATCATGGAGAAACCCCATCTAACTAAAAATACAAAAATTAGCCAGACATGGTAGCCTGCGCCTGTAGTCCCAGCTACACGGGAGGCTGAGGCAGGAGAATCGCTTGAACCTGGGAGGCAGAGGTTGCAGTGAGCCAAGATTATGCCACTGCACTCCAGCCTGGGCGACAGAGTGAGAGTCTGTCTTAAAAAAAAAAAATGTCCGTCAACAGATTAATGGCTAAAGATAATGGGGTGTGTATACACTATGGAATACACTTCAACCTTAATTCTTTCAGTTTTGGCAACATGGGTGAACCTGGAGGATGTTACCTTAAGGGCAATAAGCCAGGCACAGAAAGACAGCTGTCACATGCTATTACTCGGTAATCTAAAAAGTTGTTCTCATGGAGGTAGAGAGTGGAATAGTGGTTGCCAGAGGATGAGGAGGGTAGGAGGGAGAAGGGCATGGAGAGAGATTGGTCAACAGGTACATGGTTGTAGTTAGGCAGGAGGAGTACGTTCTGGTGCTCTGTTGCACAGTAAGGCGGGAGAAGGGCATGGAGAGAGATCGGTCAACAGGGCCAAGGGGACAGACAGTTAGACAGAAGGAGTACATTCTGGTGCACAGTAAGATGACGAGGGTTAACAGCAGTGTATGGTGTAGTTCAGAATAGCTGGAAGAGAGGTTTTTGAATGTTCTCATCACAGGGAAATGATAAATATTTAAGGTGATGGATATGCTAATTACTTTGTTGCGATCAATGCACAATATATCCATTGTATACTATCAATATGTACAATTATGTATCAATCAAAATTTTTTAAAAAGGTGACACTAAATACGGTAGCTATGTAAATCAATTTTTTACAGAAGTTTTCTTCTACATGAGCAGATACCAAATATAGATTGTTTGGTGTATCTTAGAATAAAAGCCACATTCTTTTGTAGCTTTGGCACCTTAGGGACACTTCATTGTGAGGAAGGGAAATTCTTCAGCTTTGTCCAGAGGAAATTATAGGTAGATCTGAATGCTCAAAGTTTCTAAGATGTCAATGCTCTTTGTGTAATTTTGGAATCAAAGCCCTAGGATGATAGAGTACTTAATGTTTGCTTTTGGGATTTATCATGTTCTTTTTTTTTTTTTTTTTTTTTTGAGACAATCTCACACTTGTTGCCCAGGCTGGAGTGCAATGGCATGATCTCAGCTCACTGCAACCTCCACTTCCCAGGTTCAAGCGATTCTCCTGTCTCAGTCTCCCGAGTAGCTGGGATTACAGGCATGTGCCACCACGCCTGGCTAATTTTTGTATTTTTTGGTAGAGATGGGTTTTCACCATGTTGGCCAGGCTGGTTTCTAGCTCCTGACCTCAGGTGATCCACCCGCCTCAGCCTCCCAAATTGCTGGGATTACAGGTGTGAGCCACTGCGTCCAGCCTCATGATGTTCTTTAACAGTTAACCTTGTAAGATCAGTACAGAATGAATCAGAACACAGGTATGCAGAGTCACGTCATGAGTCAGACTGATTCTCAGGCCTATGAGACCGGATTGTAACCTGTTGGCACATGGGAAAACTGTGTCACTAAGAAATCAGAGGCTAGTTTGCTCTGAGGAAGAGGCATAGGATATGCAGAGTCACTGGGCAAAAGTTGGCAGTCCATTGGCCTCTGCGATGGCCGTTTCTTACGGTATAATCATAAATGACATTTTAGTGACCGCCTTAGTCCTACAGTTTCTGTCCTTCACGATGCTGTAGTTAGCGCTTGGAAATATAGGAAATAAGAAGTTGTTTTTGGCCTTTTTTGTTTGGCAAAAGATGTCTGGTTCTGTGTGGATGCCTTCATCTTTTTGTATATTGTGCAGGTACTGTCATTGTTAAGAAATGGATCTTAGGCTGAGTGCAGTGGATTACATCTGTAATCCCAGCTCTCTGGGAGGCCGAGGTGGGAGGATCACTTGAGGCCAGGAGTTGGGCAGCATAGTGAGACCCCATCTCTACAAAAAATTTAAAAATTATCTGGGTGTGTTGGTGCACATCTGTAGTTCCCAGCTACTCGGGAGGTTGAGGTGGGAGGATCACCTCTACCTGGGAGGTTGAGGCTACAGTGAGCTGTGATCATGCCACCACACTTCAGCCTGGGTGACAGAGTTAAGTGTCTCAAAAAATAAAAATGGATCTGAATGGGTTATACCCCTATAAAGTTAGGGTTATAAGCTGCTTATGTGAGGATTGAGTGAGATAGTAGATGAAAATCCCTTTACAAAGCATAATCTACCATTTGAATGTGAGGGTTTTTGCTGTTTGTTTTTTGTCTTTAAATTAGTATTGTTCACAACTTTAATTCTCTCAGAGTTGAGTTTTGTGCCCAAGTAAAAATTAAGAGGGGAGAGAATGTTAGGATGTGGGGCAGGAGGCTCCTCGGCTTAGACTTTCTTTGATATGATCAGGATCAAGTACAGCAAAGGTAACTAACGATTGGTGTAACTGATGCCCTTGCAGGAGGGAGCACTGGCAGTTGCTGGGTAATTTGAAGACGACGGTGGAGGGTTTGGTATCAACCAACAGCCCCAACGTCTGGTCTAAGTATGGTGGCTTGGAGCGGCTTTGCAGGGACATGCAGAGCATCCTCTATCACGGGCTTATCCGTGACCAGGTATGCAGAACTCCTTTTTTTGCCAGATTGGCTGACTCGCTTGTTGAAAAGAAACAGTCGCATTGGCAGGGAGGAGATGAAGGCCACTGGTCTGTGGACTCCTGAGAGCAGCTGTGACTTAATTCATTTTTTTAATATACAGAACGTTTCACATCGTGTCTGATGGACCATAGATGTTAATGGAATGAATAAATCACTGGGTAGGACAGCAAATCAGCAACAAAAGATTAGGTCAACTTAAAACTTTCCTATTGTTGCTGTAACAAGTAACTACAAACTAAATGGCTTAAAACAACACAGATTTATCATCTTACAGTTCTTGAGATCGAAGTCCAAAATGAGTTTCACGGGGCTGAAACCAAGGTGTCTGCAGGGCCACACACCCTCTGGACGCTCCACAGAGAATCTACTTCCTTGCCTTTTCCAGCTTCTCTAGGTTTCCTGCATTCTTTGGCTCTTGGCCACTTCCTCCATCTTGAGAGCCAACAGCATAGCACCTTCAAATCTCTCTCTGCCCCCCCCTTTTTTTTTTTGAGACGGAGTCTCGCTCTGTCACCCAGGCTGGAGTGCGGTGGTGCGATCTTGGCTCACTGCAAGCTCCGCCTCCCGGGTTCACAGCATTCTCCTGGCTCAGCCTCCCGAGTAGCTGGGACTACAGGCGCCCGCCACCAGGCCCGGCTAATTTTTTCTATTTTTTAGTAGAGACGGGGTTTCACCGTGTTAGCCAGGATGGTCTCAGTGGTCTCAATCTCCTGACCTTGTGATCTGCCCACCTTGGCCTCCCAAAGTGCTGGGATTACAGGCGTGAGCCACCGCACCCAGCTCTCTGCCCCCTTTGTTTGTTTGTTTGTGTTTTGAGACGGGGTCTCGCTCTGTCACCCAGGCTGGAATGCAATGACAAAATCATGGCTCGCTGCAGCCTCGACCTCCCGGGTTCAAGCAATCCTTCCACCTCAGCCTCCCAAGTAGCTAGGGCTACGGGCACATGCAACCACACCTGGCTAATTTTTGTGTTTTTTGTAGAGACAGGATTTCACCATGTTGCCCAGGCTGGTATTGAATTCTTGGTCTCAAGTGACCCTCCTGCCTTAGCCTCCCAAAGTGCTGAGATTATAGACATGAGCCACCGTGCCCAGCCCTCTCTGCTTTCACATCCCTTTCTCTCCTTATGGACCATTCCTGCCTACCCCCCTCCTTATGACCATTCCTACCTCCCTCTTAAGGACTCTTACAATTATACTGGGCCCACATGGACAATCCAGTATAATCGCCCCATCTCAAAATCCTTAATTTAATCACACCTGCAAAGTCACTTTTGTCATAAAAGGCAACATTCCCAGGTTCTAGGAATTAGAATGTAGACATCTTGGAGGACCAGTCTTAGCCAACCACAGCCAGGAAGCTTTTCCTTCTGAATCTTAGTTTTGGTTTTAAAACCATGCTGGTTTTTTTCAGAAGTAGGTAGGATAAAGGAAGAAAAACAGCCAAGGCAAAAATATGTTCACTTATTTCTGACTTTCATGCATGAAATGTTTCTACAGAATGAGAAGGTGGCCAGGCACAGTGGCTCACGCCTGTAATCCCAGCACTTTGGTAGACCAAGTGGGGCAGATCACTTGAGATCAGTTTAAGACCAGCCTGGCCAACATGGTGAAACTCTGTATCTACTAAAATTACAAAAATTAGCCGGGCGTGGTGGCGCGCACCTGTAATCCCAGCTACTCAGGTGGCTGAGGCAGGAGAATCACTTGAACCTGGGAGGCGGAGGCTGCAGTGAGCTGAGACCGTGCCACCGCGCTCCAGCCTGAGCGACAGGGTGAGACTGTATCTCACAACAACAAAAGAATGAAAAGATGAAACTCCATGTGCTCAGTGACATTAAAAGTACTTCCCTGTGGGAAATCCTTTTGTCTAGAAGCCAGTGTGTTCTAGTGATAATTAATTGCTTAGGCTTGATAAGATTCGTGTAATTAGAATCAACGTCTCTTTCCTGAGACAAAATAATCAGCTCTTCCTGTGATTCTTTTTGAATTAGAATTTTCATCTTGTTCCCTAAATTTAGACTTTTGTTATTACTATCTTTACTTCAAATTAATAATGGGAAGAAAGAATTAATGTGCTTTCTTTGTAAGGATAGTGAGACTTTATCCTCAAAGTATCTGTGAAAACTAGCAGGCATAAAAGTGACTAGGGAAAAGAAGAGTTAGTAGTTAACTCATGTTAGCTACGACACGAGTAGTTAATAGGTACTGTGGCTCAGGGTAGAGCCAGACTGCCTGGATTCAGTTTTCAGCTCCTTCATGTGTTAGCTGTGTAACCTTGGGCAAAATACTTAACCTCTTTGTGCCTTAGTTTCCTCACCAGTGAAATGAGGTAGCATCTGTCTACCTCTAGGGTTGGTGTGGTATGTAAAGCATTAAGAGAATAGGAAGAGCTCTCCTAGTATGTGCTATGATGAGGAGGAAGAGGAGGAGGACACAATGACTCATTAAATTTTCCTCCTAGCATCCTAGGACAATCCGAGAACTATTTATAAAATATTGTCATATTTAGAATACCCTTTGAGTTTTACTTTATAGATACCTTGTTGACGCTTATGAATGGTAGTTTGATTGTAGCTTAAATTTTTAAAATATAAACTTTATTAATGTTGAGTTTCTTTTTCTTTTTCTTTTTTTTTTTTTTTCAAGATAGAGTTTCGCTCTTGTTGCCCAGGCTGTGTTGCAGTGGCACGATCTCGGCTCACCACAGCCTCTGCCTCCCGGGTTCAAGCGATTCTCCTGCCTCAGCCTCCCGAGTAGCTGGGATTACAGTCATGCACCACCACGCCCAGCCAGTTTTGTGTTTTTAGTAGAGATAGGGTTTCTCCATGTTGGTCAGGCTGGTCTCGAACTCCTGACCTCAGATGATCCGCCTGCCTCGACCTCCCAAAGTGCTGGGATGACAGGCGTGAGCCACTGCGCCTAGCCGAGTTTCTTTTTCTTTATATCCTCAAAAACTCTATAATCAGCTTTGAGTTTTGAAATGAGTAGAATCCAATAATTCTTAAAGGTTTCTGCTTTCTCTTTGGCAGTTACTCCATTTGCAGTGTTTTAAATACATTTTGGTTCTGGATAAAGTTGTCAAGTGAGTCACTGGGGTTTAGTATCCTCCTATTTAAAAAAAAAATCAGACCTCACAAATACAGGCATAATTGTGTGTTCTCGCTCATGTCATCCCCTGTCAGGGCCTCGTATAACTACCTGGAACTCTAAGCTCATCTTGCTTTTTTATCAGAATTTATTCTCAGCCAGTAATCACATTGGAAAAGAGCTAATCAACTAATTGGTATTAAAGTGTGTATACTTGGCTGCGCGTGGTGGTTCATGCCTATAATTCTAGCACTTCGGGAAGTTGAGGCAGGAAGATCACTAGAAATTTGAGGCCAGGAATACAAGACCAGCCTGGGCAACACAGCAAGATCCCTATCTCTGTAAAAAATTTAAAAACTTAGCCAGCCATGGTGGTGCATGCCTGTAGACTCAGCTACTCCGGAGGCTGAGCTGGGAAGATTGCTTAAGCCTGGGAGGTTGAGGCTCCAGTGAGCTATGATTGTGCCACTGCAGCCTAGAGGGAGACCCTGTCTCAACAAAAAAAGCAAACCCAAAACAGCAAAAAGCACCATCCTAGGACTGAGGAGGCAACATTGTATCATAGACTGACAAAAGTCTTTGGAGTCAGTTAGAACCTAGATCAGAATCTAGACTCATTGCTCACATCCATGGGAAATAAAGTGACGTAGCAGTTAAAATTACGGACTTTTGAATCAGACTGCTCACATTTTAATCTCAGCTTCACCATTAACTGAGTGGTGCTGGGCAAATTATATAACTCTTTTGTCTTTGTATTCTCTTTTTTTTTTGATACAGAGTCTCGCTCTGTCGCCCAGGCTGGAGTGCAGTGGCGTGATCTCAGCTCACTGCAAGCTCTGCCTCCCGGGTTTACGCCATTCTCCTGCCTCAGCCTCCCGAGTAGCTGGGACTACAGCGCCCGCCACCACGCCCGGCTAATTTTTTTTTGTATTTTTAGTAGAGACAGGGTTTCACCGTGTTAGCCAGGATGGTCTTGAACTCCTGAGCTCATGATTCGCCCACCTCAGCCTCCCAAAGTGCTGGGATTACAGGCATGAGCCACCGTGCCTGGCCTGGAATTTTTTTTAATGCAGTTCTGCCGTATGCCCTTCTCTCTTCTTACTCTGTGTATTTTCCTGAAGCAGTTTCATCTGCTCACATTGCACGATCACTCACCCATTGATGACCCCCACCTCAGGGTTCAGCAGGTTCACCTCTCTGCTGAACTCTAAATCCAGAAGATTAGCTGTCTCCTGTACCTTACTGTCTGGCTGTCTTTCAGGCCCGAGCACAACATTACCAAAACTAAACTTATGTTCTCTCATGAGATTGCCCTTCTTCCTATTTGTGGCATTGACCTGCTCAGTCTCCCAAGTCAGAAACTTGGGAATCCTGCCAGTGTGTTTTACAGAAACTCAGTGCAAGTTTCCCAGGCTGCTGACCAAAATAGCTACCAGATGAGTGGCACTGCCACTCAATGGGTCAGGTACTTGTGTCCTAATAGCAAATGGGTTCTTCTCTTGGCCCTGTTACTAATATTAAACTGTCATCTAGAGTAATCACTTAACCATATTACAAGACAGTTTCACTATCTGTGCCTGAAAGAGAAATGGAAGTCAAATCAATGAGAATCTCAAATGAAAGCTGCTTGATAAATGCAAAACACTATTCACATATCTTGTTATAGTTATTAAGAGTGATAATATCTGGCTAGGCACAGTGGCTCATGCCTGTAATCCCAGCGCTTTGGGAGACTGAGGCGGGCAGATCACCTGAGGTCAGAAGTTTACGACCAGCCTGACCAACATGGTGAAACCCCATCTCTACTGAAAATACAAAATTAGCCGGGCGTGGTGGTGCATGCCTGTAATCCCAGCTACTCGGGAGGCTGAGGCAGGAGAATCGCTTGAACCTGGGAGGTGGAGGTTGCAGTGAGCTGAGATTGCACCATTGCACTCCAGCCTGGGTGACAAGAGCGAAACTCCATCTCAGAAAAAAAAAAAAAGTGATAATATCTGTGAAAGTATCTGGTCATCAGAATGAAAAATATCAAAGCATATGATCATCTGCAAAATAGCAGTAGTATTTTTAATTTTTTTATTTGTTTTTATTTTATCTTTTCTCTCTCCTTTTTTACATGCCTCCTATCCTGAGAACCCCAGTAGTGTTAGTAATCAGAAGCAGAGCTAATCAGGCAGATTTGTCATATGGACACACACACATTTAGCAACTGCAGGCTCTAGTGGGAAGAATCAAAAGATCCGTGCCGGTTTCCTTGCTGCTCTGTTCTGCCTGGTAAAGATCTGAGAATTAAAGTCTGCGTCAAGAACTTGTTTTTCGCTTTCATTTCCTCCCTCTGAAAGATGAGGGCTTTCAAAGGTTTCAGGCTGCTGCGTCATCACCGAGCTATTCTGGGTGTTGTGCCCTCGTCAGGAGGAGGGGCTGATACAGTGATTCATGCTGCTCATGTCCCCTCTGGGCTCTCAGGAGGATGCGTTATGGAATGTGAATTGTATTTTTAAAAATTCACTCAGGGCCTTAGGAAAGCTGTAACATCATGATCGTATTCTTAGAGGGATCTCATTTTTCTTGACAGCTGCATCTGGGCTACCTTTTTAGTCCTTCCAGAAGGCAAGGCATATTTGATAGCCTCTTTTCTGTTGCTTAGAAATGTGGAGACATTTAGCCCCTGAGATTGCTCAGCTGAATAGGAGAAGTGAAAGGATTCCTCCTTTTGCCACAATCAAGAAGAAACTAGTTCTTGGCAGCATAGATGGTCCAATTAAAAAAAAATCAATAATGAAAAAAAGACCTCTGTGGTTTTTTTCTGAATATGTAATGTAGGTAATATATTTTCTTTGTTGAAAATTCAGAAAATACCTAAAAGACTTTAGAAGAAAGTAAATATCACCCATAATCCCAACACCAAGCGATAGTCACCACTCTAACATTGAGGTATATTTTCTGCTTTTTTCTATGTATTTATGTGTTTTAAAAAAAACATTAAGGTTGTACTATATATATCACTCTATAACTTGAAAAATATTTAATTTTTGAACACTGTATTTTACGTAGCTAGATAATCAAAAAAGTATAAAACTATACAGTGAAAAGTCTTGCTCCCTTCTGATCACATAAAAAACTACCATTTACTAGTTTCCTTACAGAGAATTTTTTTTTTTAATTAAAAATTTTTTTTAAAGACAGGGTCTCACTATGTTGCCCAGGCTGGTCTCAAGCTCCTGGCCTCAGGCAGCCTCCCAGCTTGGCTCCCAAGGTGCTGGGATTACAGGCATGAGCCACCATGCCCAGCCCTTCCAGAGAATTTTTATGCTTATAAAAGCAATTACCAATGATTTTCTTTGCTATACCTGCAAGTTTTTAAATATAAATAATAGCATACTGTAGTAACTATTCTGTATCTTGCCTTTTTCACTTAATATGTTTTGTAATTCATCCGAAATCATTACATAGAGAGCTTCTTCATTCTTTCTTACAGCTGTCATTTTATAATATTCCATTGTACGTATGTACCATCACTTATTTAGCCAGTCCCCTGGTGAATGGATATTTAGATTGTTTCCAATCATTTGCTATTAGTAACAGTGCTTGTGTATAAATAATTTTGCCCTTTACCGTAGGATAAATTCCTAGAATTCTTAAAGGGCATGTGCATTTGATATTTTGATAGCTATTGCTAAATTACTCTCCAGGAAGTTATGTATATAAATATCCTCACCAGAGGCCAGGCGTGGTGGCTCACGCCTGTAATCCCAGTACTTTGGGAGGCCAAGGCAGGTGGATCACGAGGTCAGGAGTTTGAGACCAGCCTGGCCAATATGGTGAAACCCTGTCTCTACTAACAATACAAAAATTAGCTGGGCTTAGTGGCATGTGCCTGTAGTCCCAGCTGCTTGGGAGGCTGAGGCAGGAGAATCACTTGAACCCAGGAGGCAGGAGGCAGAGTTTGCAGTGAGCCAAGATCACACAACTGCATTCCAGCCTGGGCGACAGAGCAAGACTCCATCTCAAAAAAAAAAAAGTAAAAGATTACACTTCTCTTAGCATGAAAAGATATTATAAGTGTCATTGAATTTTTTTCCCTGTGAACTTTTTCCTATTTTATTCCTATTTTCAGTAGATTTAGTCTTTTCCTACTGATTTATAGATATTCTTTATTTATTGAGGAAATTAGTCCTTTGTAATGGGAGTTGCAAATATTTTTTCCTAGTTTGTCTGTTGACATTTCTTTCTTTTTTTTTTTTTTTGAGATGGAGTTTCACTCGTTACCCAGGCTGGAGTGCAATGGCACAATCCCAGCTCACCGCAGCCTCTGACTCTGGGGTTCAAGCGATTCTCCTGCCTCAGCCTCCCAAATAGCTGGGATTACAGGCATGTGCCACCATGCCCAGCTAATTTTGTATTTTTAGTAGAGATGGGGTTTCACCATGTTGGTCAGGCTGGTCTTGAACTCCTGACCTCAGGTGATCCACCCGCCTCAGCCTCCCAAAGTGCTGGGATTATAGGCATGAGCCACCGCGCCCGGCCGTCTTTTGACATTTCTTATGGTGGCTTTTACTGTGCCAAAATATCTGACTTTTAGTAAGTCAAATTAATCAGTTCTTTTATGACTTCTCTTAGGGCTTTGTGTGGTGCTTAGAAAGGGCTTTTCTACTGTGTGATTTTTTTTTTTTTTTGAGACAGAGTCTCACTCTGTTGCCCAGGCTGGAGTGCAGTGGCACGATCTCAGCTCACTGCAACCTCCGCCTCCTGGGTTCAAGCAATTCTCCCGTCTCAGCTTCTCGAGGAGCTGGGATTACAGGTGCATGCCACCACGCCTGGCTAATTTTTGTATTTTTAGTAGAGACAGGGTTTCACATATTGGCCAGGCTGGCCTCGAACTCCTGACTTCAAGTGATCCGCCTGCCTCTGCCTCCCAAAATGCTGGGATTAAACGGGTGTGCGCCACCACACCCAGCCTACTCTGCAGTTATTAAGAGTGTTTTCCCATGGTTTTGTCTATTACTTTTATGGCTTAGTTTTTTACATTCAAATTGTTCCATCTGTAATTTATTTGGAATGTATTTAATTTCCTATGCATTTGTATCAACTTCTCAATTTCTATTCTGGTGTGTTGTTCTCTGTTTATTTGCCATCACCACTCAGTTTTAATATAGTAGCTTTTCAGGCCGGGCGCGGTGGCTCACCCCTGTAATCCCAGCACTTTGGGAGGCCGAGGCAGGCGGATCACCTGAGGTGGGGAGTTTGAGACCAGCCTGACCAACATGGAGAAACCCCGTCTCTACTAAAAATACAAAACTAGCCGGGCATGGTGGCGCAAGCCTGTAATCCCAGCTACTCAGGAGGCTGAGGCAGGAGAATTGCTTGAATCTGGTAGGTGGAGGTTGCGGTGAGCCGAGATCGCGCCATTGCACTCCAGCTTGGGCAACAGAGAGAAACTCCGTCTCAAAGAAAAAAAAAACCCATAGTAGCTTTTCATTATGGTAGCGGGTAGTTCCTCATTCTTACAGCATCTGTTGGTGGTGGTGGTGGTGATGGTGGTGGTTTTTCCCTCAACATGCAAACATTTGTTCTTTTATTTACTCTGTGAACTCCACACCATTTTTCGATAAGAACAGGAAAAAACTGCTTATGCAACATGACCTGGATCATTAACTGATTGACGAAGTGAGGGAAATCAAGTAGTGATAATATATGTAACTCAAACATTTTATTTTAATTTAAAACATAAATTTATATCTATTCAACAATCTTAGGATATTGGGTCAAAGCCTATTCTGTGAGTATGGGCCCACTGATGGAGTCTGTATCATCTTTCTTATATAAACTATGCGATAGAATTTCCAGTTTCAATTTCTTTTATACTGAGCCAGCAATTTAAAAAATCCTGTAGTATGAATATAAAATTTTCATTTTTCATTTTTCCCCTAACTTCTGAAAATTGTCTTGCCTCCACCTAATTCAGTATCAACTCTTTATAGTGACTTACCTTTACTGAAAAGGCTTTTCAGAGCATACTAGTGTTTATAAATACAGTCATTTCCTCAAAGTGCATAATCATTACTTTAAATGTGAAATTATAACAAGTACAACTGACAGGAATAGGTTTGGGAACAAAAATAACTGATTCTTGGTAAGCCACAACTCAATTGGTGGGAGTAAAAGTGCATGTTTATTCTAGAGAATTATCTATACCCAACTTGAGTGCTTCTTTGGCAACGTTGGGAGAATTGGAAAGCCATTCTTTCAGCAAAGAATATAGCATTGCTCTTTTTTTTTTTTTTTTTTTTTGAGTCTACCACTGTAGTCTTTTTTTTTCTTCGTAGCATTGCTTTTAATGTGTATATATTACAAGTGTACCCTAATTTAACCAGTACTCTACTGATAAATGTTCAAGTTGTTTACATATAGGCCGGGTGTGGTGGCTTACGCCTGTAATCCCAGCACCTTGGGAGGCTGAGGTGGGTGGATCACCTGAGTTCAGGAGTTCGAGACCAGCTTGGCCAACATGGTGAAACCCCATCTCTACTAAAAATACAAAAATTAGCCAGGCGTGGTGGCAGACACCTGTAATCCCCGCGACTCGGGAGGCTGAGGCAGGAGAATCGCTTGAACCTGGGAGGCAGAGGTTTCAGTGAGCCGAGATTGCACCATTGCACTCCAGCCTGGGTGACAGAGCAAGACTCCGTCTTGGAAAAAAAAAAAATTGTTTACATATTTTTCTTTATTTGCTATCATAAAAAATGCTAAACATTCTTTTTTTATGTAAAGAAATTTATTCATAAAATTTATCCCTCTCTCTGTTCCTTTATGATTTGCACTTTTGTAGCAAGGAAAGACCTGCTGAATCAGAACTTGCATTATTATTATTTTTTTTTTTTTGAGACAGAGTATTGCACTATTGCCCAAGCTGGAGGGCAGTGGCTTGATCTCAGCTCACTGCAACCTTCACTTCCCAGGCTCAAGTGATTCTCCTGCCTCAGCCTCCCGAGTAGCTGGGACTACAGGCATGTGCCCCATGCCCGGCTAATTTTTGTATCTTTAGTAGAGACAGGGTTTCACCATGTTGACCAGGCTGGTCTCGAACTTCTCCTGACTCAGGTGACCCTCCCACCTCAGCCTCCCAAATTGTTGGGATTACAGGCGTGAGCCCCTGTACCCGGCTTGATTTGCACTTCTGCTTTTAAACATTGTAACTTTTATCTGCATAGAAATCCAATATCCTTACTTTTCTTAGTGGATTTGTAGTTTCCTTTTTCCTTTTTAACTCTTCAATACAGGTGGAATTTATTCTGGAATTTATAAAATAAATCATATTTATTTTCTATGATTTGAGGAGAATGCCTAAATTGGTCTACTTCTAGCCAGCCAATTTTCTCAACAATATTTCTTGAATAATCAATTTTTTCCATTTTTTTTCCCAAACAAAAAAGTAGTTTATTTAAGGGTTTAAGTTAGTTTAAAATTTTGTCTGAAGAAAAGAAACCAATTTTACATGCTTTTCTTTTTTTTTGAGACCGGAGTCTCGCTCTGTCACCCAGGCTGGAGTGCAGTGGCGCCATCTCGGCTCATTGCAAGCTCTGCCTCCCGGGTTCATGCCATTCTCCTGCCTCAGCCCCCCGAGTAGCTGGGACTACAGGCGCCCACCACCACGCCCAGCTAATTTTTTTGTATTTTTAGTAGAGACGGGGTTTCACTGTGGTCTTGACCTCCTGACCTCGTGATCTGCCTGCCTCGGCCTCCCAAAGTGCTGGGATTACAGGCGTGAGCCACCGCGCCCGGCCACAATTTTACACGCTTTTCACTTAAAAATGATGTAACCAAGAGACATGCTGGAGTTGATGTCCCACGGCTGCCCAGCCCTGGCTGGCCACTTAAAATCCACTCAACCAGATACCAGAGTCCCTGCCGCACTACCACCAGAATACTGAAGGTCTTCATGATGTTTATTGTCAAAAGAGCCTGCACATCTGACATTTCCGGTTCTCACTTCTACCCTCGCAGTATAGAGGCGAGAAGAAAGACTTTTTACAAAGAAGCACCTCTGACTGTTGAGGTGGTTTTAGATCGTGTATTAAGTTCTGATATATCTTAAGGTCTCTTTCAGGCTATTTATTTTGTACCATTGATTGGTCTTTGTCTCTTTTTTTGTTTGTTTTTTTAAGACAGGATCTCTCTCTGTCATCCAGGCTGGAGTGTAGTAGCACGATCTCGGCTTACTGCAACCTCTGCCTCCTGGGCTCTTGTGATCCTCCCACCTCAGCCTCCCAAGCAGCTGGGACTACAGGCATGTGCCACCACACCTGGCTAACTTTTTGGATTTTTTAGTAGAGATGGGGTCTCGCTATGTTGCCCAGGCTGGTCTCAAACTCTGGGCTCAAGTGATCCGCTCACCTCAGCCCCCCAAAGTGCTGAGATTACAGGCATGAACCATCGTGCCTGGCCTGGTCTGTCTCTTGATACTTGTGCTAGCTCTATATATTTTTAATTATTTAGATTTTAGTTTTAATCCCTACCCAGTAGTCTCAGAAAAGGTTATCGAAAAACAACAATTGGGTTGTTATGGTACAAACATTTTGCATGTTGAGGCCTGTCCCAGCGTGAGACCATTTCATCTGGTCTGGGCATTTCTTTGCCTCCACAGCTCTTCCCTGACCTGGGTGGCGTGGAAAAGTAGATGTTTCCTTATTTGATTTTGCTTTTGCAGTAGGGGCTAAAGACATCCAGCTCTGGCTTTTAACAATAGCTCTTTACCAGTTTTAAGAATTATTTTTTAGAAAACAGAACGGTAGAGAGAAAGGAGTAGAAACCATTATTTTCAGCCGGGTACGGTGGCTCATGCCTGTAATCCCAACACAAGTGACCCAAGGCGGGCAGATCACTTGAGGCTCGGAGTTTGAGACCAGCCTGGCCAACATGGTAAAACCCCATCTCTACTAAAAATACAAAAATTAGCCAGGCGTGATGTCATGTGCCTGTAGTTCTAGCTGTTCGGGAGGCTGAGGCATGAGAATCGCCTCAGCATGGGAGGTGGAGGTTGCAGTGAGCTGGATCACGCCACTGCACTCCAGCCTGGGTGACAGAGTGACTCTGTCTCAAACAAAAAGAAAAAGAAAACATTATTTTTACTGTATACCTTGTATGTCATATGCATATGTTACCTGTTCAAAAGAATGGTTAAAATAATCTTTAACAATTATTCTTTAAAAGGGTAAACATATGTCAAGTGTAGTATTCCTTTTTTTTTTTTAATTCCTTTTCTTTTTTTTTTTTTTTTTTCTGAGTTAGGGTCTCACTCTGTTGCCTGGGCAGGAGTGCAGTGGCACAATCATGGCTCACTGCAGCTTTGACCTCCCAGGTTCAAGTGATTCTCCCACCTCAGCCTCCTGAGTAGCTGGGACTAAGGCATGTCCCACCACTCGGGGTAAGCTTTAAATTGTTTGTAGAGATGGGCCAGTCTACCTGGACTCAAGCAGTCCTCCTGAAGTGCTGGGTTTACAGGTGTGAGCCACCACCCCTGGCCTCTGTGTGTATCCTTTGATTGCTGCTAAGAACCTTTGATGAGGCAAGGGAAGGTTGTGGTCCTTTTCCTATCTTTGAATGCCAACCCTAGAACTAGATCTGGTCCAGAATGGTCGTGATTTGCTCATTGTATGTGTTCCCTTTGCAGGCGTGCCGCCGCCAGACGGATTACTGGCAGTTCGTGAAAGACATCCGGTGGCTCAGTCCCCACTCAGCCCTTCACGTGGAGAAGGTAAGAGTGAGAGCAGAGCGGCTGTGCTGGCAGAGCTGTGGGTCTTCACTGTTTGAGGCTCTGTCAGAAGAATCTTCTAGGCTCCAAGGAGGGAATATGTCCAGTTGCCTATCAGCTGAGGAAAGGAAATTAATTATCCCTGTAGGGACTGACTTTATTTGCTTAAAAAAAAAAAACATGCAAACCCATTGGTCCAGGCCACTTTTTCTCCTCTGGGGAAGGGAAAAAAAGTTTTGCTATTTTCAAAAAAGCCTGCCTACATGGGACCCAGGGTGAAGCCTTTCAAAGCATTTCCCTTACCTGTCTCAATTTAGTTCTCAGGTCATTAGGCCTCAATCTTGCCGTATCTACCAGGATGTGTGTTTTGACTCATGCCCCTTTGCTTCCCAGTTCATCAGCGTGCACGAGAACGACCAGAGCAGTGCTGATGGTGCCAGTGAACGTGCTGTTGCCGAGCTGTGGCTGCAGCACAGCCTGCAGTACCACTGCCTCTCAGCCCAGCTCCGGCCCCTGCTCGGGGATAGACAGTATATCAGAAAATTCTACACAGGTAGGTAGAGGCCACTTAGGACTGTCATCTGTGCTTCCTCGTTGTCACCCACCTCACTATCCTCTACCCCTCTGGTACCAGGGCCTCCTATTTTTCTTTTTTTCTTTGAGATGGACTTACGCTCTTGTCACCCAGGCTGGAGTGCAATGGCGTGATCTCGGCTCACTGCAACCTCCGCCTCCTGGGTTCAAGCAATTCTCCCGGCTCAGCCTCCTGAGTAGCTGGGATTACAGGCATGTGCCACCATGCCCAGCTAATTTTGTAATTTTAGTAGAAATGGGGTTTCTCCATGTTGGTCAGGCAGGTCTCGAACTCCCAACCTCAGGTGATCTGCCCGCTTTGGCCTCCCAAAGTGCTGGGATTACAGGCGTGACTACCGTGCCCGGCAGGGCCTCCTGTTTTTCACTTGATGCCATAGGGATTCTACTCAGAAACATATATCCAGACTTACCTCTCACCTCCCAAGTAAGACACAATCCAGCTTTATGTTAAGGTCGTCCCCTACGGCCACACACACAAACCGTAAGAATAGCCACCATTTACCACGAGTTTCCTGTGTGCCCGTCACTGCTGTCCAGTATCTTCACAGCAGCCCCGAGAGTTGGGCATTGGTGCTACTGTTTCCAATCCACAGGGCTCCAGGAGGTTAGGCGACTTGGCCAAAGTCACTCAGAGCCAGGATTCAAATCTGGATTTTTCTGACGTTGAAGCCTCTTGCCCTGGCCATTTTGCTGCACCTCGCGTTCTTCAGCTTCTCCTCTACTTTGTTTCTGATCTGCCTTCACCCTCCTCCTCATTCATCCTTACCTCTCCCTTTCTGCTTCCTCAAGCTTCTCTCAAGGCCTCCCTGATGGGCTCTATCACTGTGGCAGCTTTTCTCTCCCCAGATGCTGCCTTCCTGCTAAGTGACGCTCATGTCACGGCCATGCTGCAGTGCCTGGAAGCAGTGGAACAGAACAACCCCCGCCTCCTGGCTCAGATCGATGCGTCCATGGTACAGGGGACAAGGAATTATCCACGTCTATGCTGGGTCCCTGGAGCTCAGCAGGATGTAGCCCTCTACAGCAAACTTTTTCACTTAGCCATTTTTGTGAGCTGAAAGGCTTGCATTTTTTTTTTTTTTTTTTTTTTTTTTTTTTTTTTTGAGACAGAGTCTCGCTCTGTTTCCCAGGCTGGAGTGCAGTGGTGCAATCTCAGCTCACTGCAACCTCTATCTCCTGGGTTCAGGCGATTCTTGTGCCTCAGCCTCCCGAGTAGCTGGGATTACAGGCGCCCGCCACCACACCCAGCTATTTTTTTGTATTTTTAGCAGAGACAGAGTTTCACCATGTTGGCCAGGACGGTCTCGATCTCCTGACCTCGTGATCCTCCCGCCTCGGCCTCCCAAAGTGCTGGGATTAGAGGCCTGAGCCACCGCGCCCGGCCAGCTTTCATTTAAAATGCTTGGAGGAGGGGAGGTACTGTTAAGTACCTATTGAAGTAGAAAGTCTAGGCTTAGGTCGTGTGCTTAGTAGACCTAAGCTGGGGAGTGGGGAGGTAGATTTTGTTAAACCTGTGGTATCTTTTGACAAAGGATACCAAGCCTTGACAAAGATCTGGGGAAAAGAGGGATGGTTTTGAATCGGATAGAGTTTAGTGTCAGACCTGGCATAGCTTAATGTTACACGGGGTCAGTTTTTTCATGTTTTTTTCTTTGATGTAAAGAAAATTTTATAGTACAAAGAAAATTTGTTGCCTAAAATTAACTTATCCCATCACTAATACTCCAGTCAGTGCCTTAGCTAGAATGGAATCAGAGTCCCCACTTCTTAGAGAAGCAGATCCCCTATCTCTCCAGATTCTTTTAATTAATTATTATCATTATTATTATTTTGAGACAGAGTCTTTACTTTGTTGTCCAGGCTGGGCTGGAATGCAGTGGCATGATCTTGGCTCACTGCAGCCTCCGCCTCCCGGGTTCAAGTGATTCTCCTGTCTCAGCCTCCCGAGTAGCTGGGATTACAGGTGCACGCCACCACGCCCAGCTAATTTTTGTATTTTTAGTAGAGACGGGGTTTCACCATGTTGGCCAGGCTGGTCTCGATCTCCTGACCTCAAGTGATTTGCCCGCCTTGGCCTCCCAAAGTGCTGGGATTACAGGTGTGAGGCACTGTGCCCGGCCTGATTCGTTTAATTTTGATTGTTGGTTACTATCCATTTAATACTTTGTATGTGCCAGGCACGGTGCTATGTATGATAAATGTATCATGTCATTGACTCTTCATAACCCTGTGAAGTGGGCATTGATCTCATTTTATAAAGGAGGCTGCTGAGGCACAGAGTAGATACGTGGTCCAAAGTTTGGATCAAATAGCTGATAAGTGTCAGGGCCTGGATTTGAACCCTAGTCTGTCTGACTTCTGATTCCACATACATCAGCACTTTGTTGTGCTGCCTCTGTAATAAAGTACTCCTGGTTTAACACCTGGAAGGATTCCAGTGCAGATGCTGTGGTTTCACAGTTGTAAATTACATACTGTAGTAGAAGGTAGCCTTGCTGTATCTACAGGCTCTGGCTAAAGTCCAGGCCTACTGCAAAGGTAGCTTCTATGGCATTTCTGCAGTACTGCGTTGCCCCCACTCTGAGGCCCTTTGTCCTTAACTCTGACACATTTTTTGGTTTTGTTTTGCTTTTTAGTTTGCCAGAAAGCACGAGAGCCCGCTCCTGGTGACAAAGAGCCAGAGCCTGACAGCCCTGCCCAGTTCCACATACACCCCTCCAAACAGCTATGCTCAGCATTCCTACTTTGGGTCCTTCTCTAGCCTCCACCAATCCGTGCCCAACAATGGCTCAGGTATGGGGACAGGAAAAAGTGGTCATTACATTTATCCCCAGCCCTGGAAAGTAAGAAGACTTTGTGGTTGCTCATAGGCTTGGAAAATTGAGACTTGGGTTGGTAGTTTTTCTTAATAAGGGACATCTTTACAAGTTATATAGTGACTAGCTTGAAATAATTCAGTAGAATCATGAAGTAACAGAAGAGAGAGATGTTTGTAGATTCCCCTGGGTTTCTAATCCACATTGCCAAGAAGGCATTTCAATACTAGCTAACACCGAATGATTGCCAATCATGTACTAGGCTCTGTTGTGTTCAGTTTGTATGTGTTATCCCATTTGAGCCTTCAAACAGTCCTCTTACTGCTCATTTTTCAGATGAGGAATGCATACTAATAAGCAATAAAGCACTGTCTCAGGAGCCCATACTCTTGACTTAGCTGCTTCTAAATAATTTTGTACTTTATTTGGCTTGCCGTTTCTGAGGTGACATCGTATGTCCTGGTCACCCAGTCCTTCATACATACTGCAGGATTCCACCTCACCCTTGCTCCCCTTACCATTTCCTTTTATATTCTAGAGAGAAGATCTACTTCCTTTCCACTCTCTGGCCCTCCCCGGAAACCTCAAGAAAGCAGAGGGCACGTCTCACCAGCAGAGGATCAAACCATCCAAGCCCCCCCAGTTTCAGTCTCTGCACTAGCCAGGGATTCCCCTTTGACCCCAAATGAAATGAGCTCCAGTACTCTGACCAGCCCCATAGAGGCATCCTGGGTCAGCAGCCAGAATGATTCCCCAGGTGATGCCAGTGAGGGGCCTGAGTACCTGGCCATTGGCAACTTGGACCCCCGAGGCCGGACTGCCAGCTGTCAGAGTCACAGCAGCAATGCCGAGAGCAGCAGTTCCAATTTGTTCTCCTCCAGCAGCTCCCAGAAGCCAGATTCTGCTGCCTCTTCCTTAGGGGACCAGGAAGGAGGTGGGGAGAGCCAGCTGTCCAGTGTCCTCCGCAGGTCCAGCTTCTCAGAGGGGCAGACACTCACTGTCACCAGTGGGGCAAAGAAAAGCCACATTCGCTCCCATTCGGATACCAGCATTGCCTCCAGGGGAGCTCCAGGTAATGAGGAACACCGGCTGCTAGTTAGCAAGATGACCCTGAATTGAGAGTAAGAGAGGGCTTGTTATGGGGACTTTTCAGGTGGCAGAAAGAGATGTTCTGTTTCTGGTGATACAACATCTTATTTTGTAATGAAAGAAGTTTATAACGAAATACTGAGACTCAAAATCTCTAAGTCTATTTATGTTTGTTTCTTTATACATTGCTAATATTAAATGTTTTCCTGGATTCTTTACTAGTTTGGTAACATCAGAGGATAGCGTGACTCATAGTGCGAGTTTTCAAAGTATCTCTTGGATTGGGGAAAGTATTATTGAGCTTTAAAAATAATCCCATTAAGTTCTGTCATTTCCTGTGACGTCTTAGAAGTTTGCCCAGGGTGTAATAATACCAATGTGAGAGAGGCAGAGAGATACTGGGGTTTCTAATTAAAACGAAGGCTATAGTGAGTGCAGGGTGATGCGATCCAGCAACTGAGTCGGTGGGGCTGACGGCCGCATCACTGATTCAGGGTGAGAGGCCGTCAGATAAGGAGGCCCTGGCAGCTGGGACCTCCCTCACCAAACACCAGCTGATAGCAGGGGCAGCCTACTCGTGGGGAAGGTGGGGCTCCTTGCTTTTGCCATCTCCCTGCCATCATCCTTCCCGGCTTGTGGTATCCGGCAGGCTTTGGTTGGGTTTTGTTTGTAGTAGGATCTCCATAAGAGGAAGTATAGCATGGAGCTTTGTGCTCAAAGCCATTCTGGGTCAGGAAAGCCCCAGAAATAAAATATAAAAATAAAATGTGAAAAATTCAAGGACCTAAAAAAAAGAGGGGGCGGTTTCTTTAGCAACTGGAGATAGCGTTGCTTTCTCTTTGTAATTTCTGGAAAGGTGAGAGCTAAGGCCCTCATCTGAAACCTTCAGAATTACAAACTTTTGTCTTTGTTTTCCCTCAAGAATGTGATTTAACTTGTTGGAAATCTTGAGGAGAAGAATCTCCAAATCAAAGCCTGTCTTCCCATGAGCTTTCTTAGATGTGAAGATGACTGGGCTGGACCCTCACTTCACATCTCCTGCTGCAGGCCTGATGTCTGCCATACTCCAAGCCACTGGCCTTTGAGCATGTAAAACTTTCCCGCCCCATTCTTGAATCCATATGGATTCCAGTGGAATCCTGCCTTGGAAAAAGGGAGCCCGCGAAAATGTGTGCGGAAGGATCTGAGGAAATATGGGTCACGCACAGCTTCTTGGACAAGCCATCCGTCCTTCACAACTGGGGTTTCCTCTTGGGAGTTCCATCCCCACTTCTGCTGGGTAAAATTTAGGACACTTTTTTTCTCTCTCTGTATTCTCATTGCTCTATCTGGACTCTCCTCTGCACCTGTCTGTCTACCGGCAGGAGGCCCCAGGAATATCACCATTATAGTTGAAGATCCCATTGCAGGTTTGGGAATCGGTCCTCCACCTCCTCTTTGTTCTGTTTTGTGACCACCTTTCTTAGTTCAGAACCTCCTTCAGTCTGGTGTCAAATCAAGTCTGGCTAGCCTGGTCTTGTTGTGATGCTTGGAACTGTCTATAAAATGATACCAGTATTTCATATGATGTGTTTTCTATACACAATTCCAAATGCCTCGTTCAGTCTCTCAACAGCTTCTGGGAGGCAGAGTCAAGACTTATCAATTCAGTTTTGCCCAAAGGTGAAACTGAGGCCTGCTATTTGTCTGAGGCATCATGATGAATCAGTAGCAGACTTTTTTTTCTTTTTTTAAATTTTTTTTACTTTTTTTTTTTTTTTTTTTTTGTAGAGACAGGGTTTCACCGCATTGCCCAGGTTGGTCTTGAACTCCTGGCTTCAAGTGATCCTCCTGTCTTGGCCTCCCGAGTGCTGGGATTACAGGCGTGATCCACCACACCTGGCCCAGAATTTTTCTTATAACTGAATACTTCCTATGGATTACTTTATTTTCCTTGAATTAACACCAGAATGTATTTTATCCCCTTTCTGTGGTCTTAGATATACTTGCATGTTTGGTTTTTTTGTTTTTTGTTTTTTTGTTTTTTTTCCCTCTCCTGCAGTTCCGTTTCCTTTTTCTTTCACCTGTTTTCATTTCCCTATAAATCCCTGCACCCCATTCCAGCTATTGCATAGGATTCTTCTAGTTATTTCAGTCTGTTTCCTTGGTGTTCATGGTGGTGTTCAAACTGAGATTTGTGTTCCATCCTGGGTACCATAATTCATGGACATGAACACTGGAATGTGTCTGCAAGGCAGAGTATTGAGAGAGGGCTGAAAGCCGTGGCCTCCTGGAAGTGGGTGAGGCCATTGGGTATGTTAGCTTGGAAAACAGATGGTTAAAGAGGAATAAAGTCTGTAGGACCATCATTTAGAATAGCGTTCTTCTTAAGGAGATAAGAAATTGGAAGAAGGCAGATAACGAGTGTAAGGGAATTCTAAGAATTAGTTAAATGGTGGCATTAGGAGGTAGTGAACTCAGTAAGTAAAGGCTGAATGGCCACATGTTGTAAAGAGGTTAAGGTCGTGTTGGAGTTTGTGTTGTGTGCTGTTTGGGAATCTTGAAGGTCCCTTCCAAGTCATATCATGGTTTTTTACCAAGGCATCGTGGCGACTACTAGTTTGTCCTCAGTTCAGTAGGAAGGAACAGAGCCCACAGCCAGGGCTACCAGAAGTCTTTGAGGCCCAAGAAGAACACAAAATTGTCTCTTGCACAGAGTAGCATTTTTTGTGAGAGGAGCAAGTTGGTAACATCTGTCAGGGAAATGGGTTAGATGCAGCTCAGTCATTCACTCTCCCACAGCATCCTGCTCATTTTCAAGCACCCACCTGCTTTTCCACCTGTTCTTCCTTCTGTGGTCCTGGAAATGTTGTGTTTCCTTGTGAAGAATATCAGTTTCTCATTCCTGCAAACCCTGCCTGCTACTGTTCTCCCTCCCAGCTCTCGCTCTTCCTGTCCCAGGCATTGTCTGTCTCGCCAGCCTTCCCTCCCTCCCTTCTTCAGTAAGGCCGGGCCGAGCCCCGTAACGGAGCCCTTTGCTTACAGGGCCCTCTCCCTGGGCTTCTCCAGCACTGCCTTGATGCTTCTTTTTAGGATGCTGCTGAATTTTATTTCCTTAGTGAATGTAAATCTTCTGATGTTACTTTAAAACCTAATGTCAAGATGTCAGAAAAGTTTCAATGCACTTGTCTTTGTTTTACCATCTAAAGACTTTTCTAAATTGGTTTGTCAAGAGGATAGGAATCAGCTGATATTCCTGTAATGTTTGGTTAAAAGATGTAAGGAAAGAGAAGCAAATTCCATGAATCCATTTTGATTTGATTCTTTCCTTTATGTTGCCCCATTCTGGATCACGTTTCTTCTTTTCCACTTAGAATGTACTGACCTGCCATCTCCTTCCCTCCCTGTGTTTCTGTACCCTTGGGCTGTTCCGTTGGTGTGCCGCCTCTCTCCTGCTTGGGAGGGCTTTGGGAAGGGGTGCAGTTAAGTGTTGAAACTCCAGAGTTGGGAATGTACCTGTTGCTCATTTCGTATGTGTTTTTACTCGCTGGTGGTCATCGTCATTAGAATCCTGCAATGATAAGGCGAAGTTGAGAGGCCCTTTGCCCTACTCTGGTCAAAGCAGTGAAGTCAGCACACCCAGCTCTCTGTACATGGAATATGGTGAGTACTAGGAAGGCCAGGGCTAAAATTGTATATTTTCTCTGCTCACCCCTTGTGCCTGCTAAGTTCTGAGTTTTGGGGTTCATCTCAGCTCTCTGGAGGGTACACACTGTTACAGTCTCAGTCACTCTTTTGTCATTTTTAACCCCCGTGCTAGAAATCACACTGCTCTGCCATTTCTCTTGCTTCTCTCTGACTTGGGGGTCCCACCCTCTCTTACGTGCTGGGTGTTCGCACCGGGTACGTCGGCTGGTCCAGATGGGATGGCTCTCTGAGTGGATGAGATGGACCTTGAAAAGAGGCCTTGGAGTATCTGGGCTTAGTAACCAGCAGACAGACTCTATGTGGAAATCATGCAGAGGAGGAAGCCATTTGTGTCCTTTTCTGCCTCCCAGCCCAAAGTTCTACATTTTTATTTTGTTTTTTCTTTACTGTATGGTACGAGGGAGAGCATGTTCTCTTTAATTTTAGATGGCAGAAGGATTCTCTCTGTTTATTCTACCGTTTTCCAACCAAGAGGCTTAGTGCTCTGGGATTCTAAGAGTCCAAGAAATTCTTTTTTGTTTTGTTTTTTTTTTTTTGAGACAGAGTTTTGCTCTTGTTGCCCAGGCTGGAGTGCAGTGGTGCGATCTTGGCTCACTGCAACCTCCGCCTCCCAGGTTCAGATGATTCTCCTGCCTCAGCCTCCTGAGTAGCTGGGATTACAGGCATGTGCCACCATGCCCAGCTAATTTTTGTATTTTTAGTAGAGATGGGGTTTCACCATGTTGGCCAGGCTGGTCTCAAACTCCTGACCTTGTGATCCGCCTGCCTTGCCCTCCCAAAGTGCAAGAAATTCTTTTAGAAGGTGGACATCTTCTTCCAACCTCTAATTCCCAGTTACCTGGGAAGACTTGGGAGCATCTTTAATGACAAAAGCTTAAGACTTCCTGAAGAAGCCTGGCTGTTTCATCCACATTCCATTTCCCACAGAAGGTGGTCGGTACCTGTGCTCAGGGGAAGGCATGTTCCGAAGACCATCAGAAGGACAGTCCCTCATCAGCTACCTCTCTGAGCAAGACTTCGGCAGCTGTGCCGACCTGGAAAAGGTGGGAAATCGAGGGCCTCATGAAGAGCTCATGAGTTGGGAGATTGGGTCTGAAGGTCTGTGGTGCCATTTGTTCTGATGAGGTTTTGGGTATAGATTACAGTAAAGATAAGTTCACGGTAAAGGGAAGCTCAGCAAGTTCTGTTTCTGAGGAACTCTGCAGGGAGCATGTGCCCCTCACTGAGTCCAAATTATTAGCGATTTTATCTTAGAAGCCAACCTGGGCAGAGAAGCATCAAGTTTGTGTGTGTGTTTTTGTTTTTTTGAGACAAGAGTCTTGCTCTGTCACCTAAGCTGGAGTGCAGTGTCACGGTCATGGCTCACTACAGCCTCAAATTCCTGGGCTCGAGCAATCCTCCCGCCTCAGCCTCCCGAGTAGCTGGGACTACAAACATGCACCACCACACCTGGCTATTTTTTTTATTTTTTTGTAGAGATGGGGGAGGTCTCCCTGTGTTGCCCAAGCTGGTCTTGAACTCCTGGGCTTGGCCTCCCTAAGTGCTGGGATTAACAGGTGTGAGCCCATGTGTCTGGGGTCTTGAACTCCTTGGCTTGGCCTCCCAGAGTGCTGGGATTCACAGGTGTGAGCCACTGCGTCTGGGGTCTTGAACTCCTGGGCTTGGCCTCCCAGAGTGCTGGGATTCACAGGTGTGAGCCGCTGCGTCTGGGGTCTTGAACTCCTGGGCTTGGCCTCCCAGAGTGCTGGGATTCACAGGTGTGAGCCGCTGCGTCTGGGGTCTTGAACTCCTGGGCTTGGCCTCCCAGAGTGCTGGGATTCACAGGTGTGAGCCGCTGCGTCTGGCAGCATTGTTTTTGCTGCATGATTGCGGTTCCCTTGACTCTGGCACCTTAGGTAAATACTGTTTCCAGAATCAAATTCTATCTTTTGTTCTAAGGCTCAGATAAGCAATAAATGACATCTGTGTAGCATTTTATAGACTACAAAGCACTTTTATCTTGAGACATAGCATTTATCTTAATATTTTGTGTACAGGTGTATGATTTTGGGAAAGAACCTGATTGAAATCCTGGGCCTCTTCTCTATCATATTTTTATGTAGAAATGAGACAGGAAGGGACAGGCTTGGCAAAGTAAGAGAGTGAAGAAAACCTAGAATAGGTTTTCCAGCCATCAGCTTTCCTCGTAGTAGAAATGTCCATTTCTCCAGGGTGTTTTTGGCAGGAACAGTTCCTATCTTGGAAACTCCCTTTTCCACATTATAATGAGTATGTCATTCAATACTTCTAACCCTTTGCCTGTTTGGTGCTCTCCTTCCGCCAGGAGAATGCCCACTTCAGCATCTCAGAGTCCTTAATTGCTGCCATCGAGCTAATGAAGTGCAACATGATGAGCCAGTGCCTAGAGGAGGAGGAAGTGGAAGAGGAAGACAGTGATAGAGAGATCCAGGAGCTGAAGCAGAAGATCCGCCTTCGGCGCCAGCAAATCCGCACCAAGAACCTGCTCCCCATGTACCAGGAGGCTGAGCACGGAAGTCAGTGGAGCCTGTGGATGCTTCTGTTCCCACATTTTCCCAACTTCAGCATAAGGCCTGGTGCCCAAACCAGTGGTTCCTCTGCTGTCAGATGTTTCTATGTAGTCCTACTTTTTTTCTATCATGCTAGGAATACTCATCCTAGAGTCGCTCCGTTTCCTGCATCAGAAATACCTGCCTTCCAGGCCAGGCAGAGTGGCTCACGCCTGGAATCCCAGCACTTTGGGAGGCCGAGGCGGGTGGATCACTTGAGGCCAGGAGTTTGAGACCTGCCTGGCCAACATGGTGAAACCCCAGCTCTAAATATATATATGTATATATATAAATAAAGGAATAGCTCCCTTCCCAAATAGCTTCCTGATATGAGGAGACCTAAGAACACTGCTCCCAGATTTGCTTCCCAGATAGTAGTACCTTCTATTTACTTGAAACTTTCTAAAGGGAAAGTTTCCATTTCTCTCTGTTGAGGTCATATCAGATCCCTTATATTGTGACACTGGAAGGACAAGAAGACCTCTTTCTGCCCTGTTTATTCCTTTTTGTTTTTAAACATAACAGGCTTTCGGGTCACCTCCAGCAGCTCCCAGTTCAGCTCACGTGATTCGGCACAGCTCTCTGACTCTGGCTCTGCTGATGAGGTTGATGAATTTGAAATCCAAGGTAAGAAGTGACACTTTGTTACAAGGGAACTTTTATTCTGTTTCTTTCCATTTAGAATGATAAGCTGCGAAGTGTTTCCTAAGTAGAAGATCTTCATTATGGATTGTTGTTAGCTATTGTAAGGGACAGCCTTCTGCTAAAAACAAAACCCCTTCACAGTTTCAGTAGGGAAGAACACTGGAAGCAGGTGTTCCAGGTGGATGGAGTGGCTGCTCGTTGATGTCACCCTGACGCGTCCTCCTCAGTGGTGTCTTTCTCCTGGGTTCCCACTCTGACTCCTCCTTTCAGCTTGTAGGGCTGGTCCATACCACTTGAAATTAGAATCCTATTCTCTTGGGTTCCATAACACAACTGAAATTGTTTCAGAGTGTTCAAAAGAGAAAAGGACAAAAAGAATCATTGGGGGCAGGGGGACAAAAGAGGAAAAACATCAGGTTTACAAAGTAGAGCTTGAATTTCTGCCCTTGCGGTCGGTGCTCACTGCTCAGCACAGTCACAGACTCTGTTTTTATTGGTGGTGGTGGTGGTGGTAGGAGTATCAGCATAGAGGAACAGTGGGGTTCCAGTCTGGGAAGGCAGTTATGTTAAATCAGGTTAATGTCCCACTCCTGCAAATCATAGATCTCTTCAAGTTCCCATCAGCAAAACAAACACACAAACAAAAAAACAGTTCAGGGACAAACGCTCTTCCTTCATGGGTGAAACTAAGAGTAGTTTCCTTACTGAAGTGAATGGTATCTATAATTCTCTGTTACAACATTGTGTATGTAGACAGAGGTGAACTGTATCTATAATTCTCCATTATAACATAATGTGATGACAGATAGGTCTTGTGTTGCAAGAGGCTTTGATTTCCTGTTTACACAATCTAGAGAGCCCATTCGCCTGCACAGGCCTCCAGATGGAGGAACCACATGTTTCTTCCCATTCAGAAACTCCGTTTTTTCACACATTTTCGAGGTATTCAGGAAGTCTTCCTTCTATGTTCTCCTTAATGTCTCTGATTTCTATGTATGACAACAATAGGTAGTCATTTAAAACTCCTTTTGTTTGTTTGGTTGTTTGTATGTGATTTTCCAACTCCTCTCCAATTCTCTACCATCAGCTGGGTGACTTACAATTTAGCTCTGACACTAACTACCTGGAGTTAGCACGGATCCTGCAGCTACAGTCCTGTGAAATTAATTCCGCTTCAGATGCCAGACACAGGTCACCAAGCTACCTGCCCTTCTGCTTGTAGGCTGACTACAAATTCAGAGATTCCCACGACCCCCTTCCCCAAGGCAGGATAATTTGCTTGAATGATGCCCAGAACTTGGGAAAGCTTATGCTTATAGTCTGTTGTAAAGGATCCAAATGAGCAGCCACATGAAGAAGTACACAGGGACTAAGGAAGAGATCACGAGCACAGGAACTCGTCCTGCCCCCGTGGTGTCTGGGGCACCACCCTCCCAGGTGCATTGATGTGTTCGCCAACCAGGAAGCCTGGACATCATTGTTCAAGTTTTTATTGAAGTTTCATTATATAGGCACCATCGATTAAGTCATCGGCCACTGGTGACTGGGCTGAGTCTTCGATCCCTCTCCCCTCCCTGGAGGCGATGGGGGAGTAAAAGCTCTAACCCTCTAATGACGTGGTTGGTTCTTTCGATAGCCCCCAATTGCCCCAATTGTGAAGCTGTCTATCTAGGGGCCTGCCAGGAGTCTCCTCATTAGCATAAACTCAGGTATGATTGAAAGGGGCGTATTTTGAATAATTTCTTGAATGATTCAAGAAATTCCAAGAATTTTAGGAATTCTCACCAGGAACTGGAGACAAAGACAAAATATCTATTTACTGTTATACCATAGTCTGTGATTGACTTCATCTCCTAATTAAAAAAAAAGAAAGAGGGTCTGACCTCACTCCCAGGATCAGCAGTCAGAATTTCAGGAGGAGAATAGTGAGGTAAATTCAGATCCGTCCACTTGACTACCACATCTGTTTCCTGCAGCAAAGCAGGGATCCGGGAAGCTGTGCAGTCTGTAAGGAGCCTGCCGAGAGAGAGGCCCAAAGCACACTCCTGTTAGAAACTGTTGCTGCGGTTGTAGGCCCTGAGGAGATGTTCAATCAGTAATTCTCTAGTCGTTTCAGAACAGAAATCCTTAAAGGAAAAGACCTTAGGCCGGGGTTTCCCAACACGTGGGCCAGATCATTCTTTGCTGTGACGGATTGGGCTGTGGACTGTAAGATGTTTAGTGTCATTCCTAGCCTCTACCTACTAGATGCCAGTGGTAACCCCTCCCCAGTATCAAGACAATCAGAAATGCCTCCGTCATTGCCATAATCACCCGTGGCTGAGAACCACTGTCGTAGGAGGTCCTTGAGGCTGGGCTTGGCGTAGGAAGTAGCAGTAACTCTCCTCCAAGCTAGAGTGAGCACCTACCCAAGGATGCAAGTTCCTAAACGCCATTTCATGTTTGGGAGCAAATGGCAAGTTTTGATTCCAGGAACATATGGTATAGAATATTAGTTTATTTCCTGCTGGAATACTAAGGGCCCCCTTTTATCATCATTATTACACAGATGGTAGCGAAGGATCTAACCTGACTCACATATCAAAGAACGGACTGTCAGTGTCACTGGCCTCGATGTTCTCAGGTAGCCTACTTTGCAAGCGTGGATGTGCTTGTAGATGCATGTGTGAGAATGTTGCACCAGCTTTCGTATATACTTAATCATGTGATAACTGTCAAGGTTACGAGGACTGTAGGGGCTGGAGAACTAGTTGGAAGAAACTGGAGCTAAGCCAGAACAACAAGCCAGGAACAATTCAGATACTCACTGATTCTTCCTCATGTGACCCCAACAATCTTCCTCACAAGTTTGTCCTTGGTGATCCTTCCCTATGGTGATAAATTTAGATTTAGTGGCCATTGTGACTGATGGAGGTAGTGGACAGTTTAGAAAGGAATAGTTAGATGAAGAATTTTAGTTCAAACCTATACCTAAGCTCCTGCCACACATTCAGACAGCAAAAGTAGGATAGAATGGTATGAAGCTTACTGTCTCTTTAGAACTTTGAATTTGCAGAGCCAACTTTTAGAAAGCCATCTCTTCTGGGTACTTTGTGTACAAGTAGGATTTACTGCTGTAGATGTTTGTTCTTGCTTTGTGATCCAAATAAGTAGGTTTCCTGTAGGTGAGGTTAATTGAAAGAAAGTAGCAGTTTTCTACTCAGAATGGCTTTAAAACACAAAAACAACAACAAAACTCAGAACTTTTGTATTTTTTTTGAGACGGAGTTTCGCTCTTGTTGCCCATGCTGGAGTGCAATGGCGCAATCTCGGCTCACTGCAACCTCTGCCTTCCGGTTTCAAGCAATTCTCCTGCCTCAGCCTCCCAAGTAGCTGGGACTACAGGCAGCTGCCACCACACCTGGCTAATTTTTGTATTTTTAGTAAAGACAGGGTTTCACCATGTTGGCCAGGCTGGTCTCAAACTCGTGACCTCGTCATCTGCCTGCCTCGGCCTCCCAACGTGTTGGAATTACAGGAGTGAGCCACCACGCCAGGCCCAGAACTTTTTATTAAAACTTTTAATATTGTTGGGCATTAGAATTTGAAATAATTGTGTAAGATTAGATCAAGATTTAGAGAAATAAAGACAAATATTACAGGAGCTCCCGTGTTCTCACTCATATGTGGGAGCTAAAAAAGTTGATCTCATGGAGGTAGAGAAGAGAGTGATAGTTACAGAGGCTGGGGAGGAGGTGGGTTGGGGCGTAAAGAGAGGTTGGTTAGTGGGTTCAACCATACAGTTAGAAGGGATGAGTTCTAGTGTTCAGTAGCACAGTAGCGTGGCTGTAGTTGACATATTCTGTATTTCAAAATAGCTAGAAGAGATTCGAAGTATTCCCAACACAGAGAAATGATAAATGTTCAATCAATGGATATTCTAAATACCCTGCTTTGACCATTACACATTGTATGCATGTATCAAAATATCACTTGTGCCCTGTCAATATGTACAAATATTATGGTATCAACTTAATTTTTTTAAGATTAGAGAAATAAAAGTAATTAGGTTCCTTTTTTTCCTACTCCTGAACGACTGTCATTGATTCTAACATGAGTCTTCCCTGCCTGAGGAGGAGTTATCCTGACTCCCTTTCTAACTGGTTTCCGGTGTGTTTAGTCCCAGTCCTCTGTGGGGGCATGTGTTGAGTGTCAGCCACTTCTCCCTCAGAGCATGTCCAATCTGCACTCACCACCAGGCAGGCCTTGATTTGGTCTTTCTAGCATGCTTCCTTTCCCCATTTTGGGGGCTTTAAAATTTTTATACACATGACAGGTTTTACACTAAGAATGTGAAATGTTTTTCAATTAAAAAGCTGCTTTTTAGGCTGGGCATACTGACTGTTTATGTCAGTAATCCCAGCACTCTGGGAGGCTTGAGGTAGGAGGATTTCTTGAGGCCAAGAGTTGGAGACCAGCCTGGGAAACATAGTGAGACCCCATCTCTACAAAAACATATTTTAGAATTAGCTGTGTGTGGTGGTGCGTGCCTGTAATCCCAGCACTCTGGAGGCTGAGGTGGGAGGATTGCTTGATCTGGGGAGGTTGAGGCTACAGTGAGCCATGATCATGCCACTGCACTTCATCCTGGGTGACAGAGCAAGACCCTGTCTCAAAAAAAAAAAAAAAAGAATTCACCCACTTCAAGTGTACAACTCAACGATTTTTGGTAAATTTACCAAGTTGTGCAGCCATCACCATAATCCAGCCTGAAAACATTGTCATCGCCCCAGTAGTATCCCTTGTGTCAGTTTACAGTGAATTCCTGTCTCCACTCGCAGCCCCACTCAGCTGCTCGTCTTTCTGTCTCTGTAGATTTGCCTTTTCTGGACACTTCGTATAAATGGAATTATCCAATGTGTGATGCGTCATCTTTTGTGTCTTTCACGTCATCTACTTCTGCTGATGGTGTCTGCCAAGTTGGTTTGATATCTTTCATAGGCTCCCAATCTCAGACAGTCTTTTCAGCTTCTTTGGATTTAGAGTTTTGTTGTTGCTATTTTTTTCCCCATCTCCATCTTCTTCTATTATAGCTGCATCAATTTTTCTTTATCTTCCTTTGTAGATTCTTCTTGAATTTTCATCTTGTGCATAGATGTATCTAGTCAGGGTCCGATCAGGAGACAGAAACTACACAGTAATTTGAATAGGGAAAGTTTAATATAAAGAATTATTTCTACTATAATGTGGGAATCATGGAATGGGAAACTGGCTCATGAGGAGTAAAGAAGACTCTCAAGAGTACACAGGAGAAGCCTCACGTGGTGGCTCAGCCTGTCATCCCGGAACTTTGGGAGGCCGAGGCGGGCAGCTCACCTGAGGTCAGGAGTTTGAGACCAGCGGTGGCTCACACCTGTCATCCCAGAACTTTGGGAGGCCGAGGCGGGCAGATCACCTGAGGTCAGGAGTTTGAGACCGACATGGCCAACATGGTGAAACCCTGTCTCTGCTAAAAATATAAAAATTAGTCGGGTGTGGTGGTGTGCACCTGTAATCCCAGCCACTCTGGAGGCTGAGGCAGGAGAATTGCTTGAACCTGGGAGGTGGAGGTTGCAGTGAGCCGAGATCATGCCACTGCACTCCAGCCTGGGTGACAAGAGTGAAACTTCACCTCAAAAGAAAAAGGGGGTGCACAGGAGGAGCAGATAGAGGAGCAGTCACTATCCCTGGGGCTGAGATGGAGCATCTGGGGTAGGAATAAATGTGAAGGAGTGATACATCCCCAAGGCTGAGATCCAGACGTCCTGGCTTGCTGGATGGTGGGGTTCCCTGAAACACAGAGCTGCCCTGAGATGGTGCCAGGGGACGCTCTCCACAGGGAGGTGGCATGCCAGCAGCTGTCACCAGGAAACTGTTCTCTGGGGTGCTGAGGGAGGGTGTCCATGGGAGGTGCTATCTCAGAACCCAAGGGTACTGGTGAAAGCCCTCTGTGGGAAGGTGGTAGGCCAGTGGCACTCACTGTAAAGCTCTCCAGGGAAGCTCTTCCGGCAGGTGCCGAGGGAGCTGTTTATGAGGGCGTCACTCATGGCACTCTGCTGCAAAGCTGCCCAAGGTGTGCTTCCCCCGGAGTCAGCTTAGAGGAGCAACCAGAGCCAGCCGGAGAAACCCCTTCTGCCTCCAGCACCCCTCCAGTGCCCCCTACCACAAAACCTCACATCATGCCAGCTGGCAAAGGAGAAATGTTTCTGTGTCCAGCTCCGTTATTGCAGAGCAGGCAAAAACAAGGGCAGATTTGGAGTTGAAAGACAATAAATTGATAGCTGGCATAACAGATAAAAAGGAACGTTGATGAGCTATACTTTCTGACAAGTTTCAAAATTATATCCAATTCAAGGTCAAGGTAATCAGTTCCTTCTCCCCCATCCCTTTTTTAATTACTTTTTTTCCTCTTTATAAAACAAGAATACTTTGGGTTCTCCATTTTGAAGTGTTTCCTTTTGAGTCAGCAATTACAGAAAATGTGTTGAAGTTGGATTCCCAGATACGTTGGGTATCACCTTATCTTCTAGAAAGAAAGCAGGATGGAAACCGGCATCAAACTGGCCAGTACATTCTGAAGTTGACTCTTCTTGTGACTCACTTACTTTGTTTAAAAATTTGCATAGTTTGCTAAGGTACCAAGGTTTTAACCAGCTCTTCTCTGATCGTTCAATACCAGTGTCTGGACACGCAGCAAATTCTTCTCCTTATAACTTGTCATTGTTTTTGTTGTTACTTGTTTTTATATTTTTAAACTTTTTTCAGTCAGTAATAATGGCCTTATTCTATGAAGTTGGTGCAAAAGTAATGGCAAAAACTGCGATGACTCAACCTAATATCTGATGCATCAGAAGCACCTGAAATCAGTTCTTTTGCAAAACAATACTTGTTTTTGTACAAAAAAATCAATAAAAAGTTTCAGAATTGTGTTAAATTCCACTTGGATGCTGAGTGTCTCGGACCTCCTTCTTAAGTGCTCTCACTTGGGACACGTTGAATCCATCCAGATGGGCAGCTCCCCCTCTCTTCACTCCTCAGTTCTCTGGCTTAGACCTTGGTCTGCTTTTATCCAGATCTTCAGTAGGGTTTCACCCGTGTCAACTTAGTTGTCTGCTTGAACCGACCAGAGAGTGATGAGGGCTGCAGCGCAGGCCCAGGACCCGCAGAGCTGCGTGGTCCTTGGCCGGGGTCAGGGGTCATGGCCCCTTTGACGAGTGTGCTTCTCTCCCTCCAGTCCGGGGTCAGAGCCTTGCCTCCGAAGCTGGGTGGCCCCTCCCCACTCTTGGACGTATTCATGATTGCCTAGGAAGCCCCTGCATGTACCTCCGACCTCACTTTACCTCTAGTAAAAGGAAGAAACACGTTACAGTGTGACTCAATTGTATTTTCTGAAGAGAGAATGATTTTTTCTCTCAAAGGAAAAAAAAAAGGTTTCTTCTCTGTGAGGATACAGAACTGCTAAATAGTTTTATGAAGGCAATGGTTTCCTTAGAAACCATGAATTACCACCTGTCTGTTCTTTCTGGCATGTAGTATTTTCTTTAATAGCCTGGCACGAAAATAAGAAAATTGGTTAGCTCCTTATTCAGGGATAGCTAAGATTTTTTTTTTTCTTTTGTGTTACTCCCAAACAGGATGGAATTTGAAATAGCTGTTAATTGCTTTTAGCCAATTAATCATTTATTCAGAAAATGTTTTCTGAAAACCTTTATGTACAAAGCACTCTGAGGGCTCCTAGCTCAAGGCAAGACTTAGGTACAGCCCAAGGCAGTGTAAGTGTTACCCAAATAAATGTTGCAAACCAAACAGTCTGTGAAAGTCTGGCCTACTGTTGCCTCTACTGTTTTTCTTTTCTCTACCAGCACTAACTAGCCAGAAATAAGACAGCTAGCAGTGCACTGGGATCTGGGTTTTGTGGCACAGATTCCGCCAGAAAACATGATATACTTGAACATCTTTGTTGTGAAATAGGCTATGCTAATTACGAGCAAAAATGTGTCGATGTCTTGTCCTGTGCTCAGAGAACATAGGAAAACCAACAGATTTGACTTCTGTTACCTTACTCATACATGTAGCTTTGAAGACATTAGTTTGTCAACAATGTTATTTGAGTATATGTTTGTATATGAGCCCTGTGTTAAGTATTTTAGAGCCAAGGGAAGAATAAGACACAATCTTATTTCTTGTTAGGGTGATTTTATAATCTAGTTGTCCAGACAAAAATCTGCATACAGAGGAAACGTGAGGAACAGTAGAGCTGCTCACAGCCCAGTGCACAGAGATGCCATACAAGATTGGTGTCCTTCTGAGTGCTCATGGTAGATTGGTCATTGTGTCGGCTTCATTAGGAAAGAAAGGTCTTTTCACTGGGCAGTGAAGGACATGAGAGAGAGTATTTATCAGAACAGTCTTGTTTTCATGACCTGGATAGGCTGTGTCTGCCTGGCTTGAACATAACTGCTGTATTTCACATCCCCCCCATCAAAAGTATTTGGGTAGATGAGGTCTCTGAGGTCTCTGGAGGTTCAGCATATCATTATTAGAAATCGTCTTCTAAATCCTTTGTCAGAAATAGGCTATGGAAAGTCTGCCACAGTTTCCTGTATAGCTAGCCTCAGAGGTCATGTTGACCATCTTTGTCAAAACGTGTTGGTAACCAGGCATCTCCAGAGAGCTGCAAAGCTGTAGAGAAGTTCCTTTTCCTCCATGAAGCTTTTCTAAGGATATAGAAGACTTCTAACATTCAGGGGTAAAATGGCAACAGTGATGACATGTTAGAGGCAAAACTGCAGACACTTCTAACATTCGGGGTAATGGCAACAGTGGTGAAATATTAGAAGCAAAGTTCCAATTTCACATATATTTCATGAGAACCTCTATGATCCCAGTTATGTGTTAGGCACTAAATGTTTTTTATATATGTATATATATACGTGTGTGTATATATATACACACACATATATGTGTGTGCGTATATATGTATATATATGTGTATATATGTGTGTGTGTATATATATATGTATATATATATAAGCCAGACAGAGTTACTGCCTAAGGGAGCTTACCATTTGAGAAAGGTTAAGATGTGGAGAGTGAGGGAGAGATTTGAGTCCTTTGTTTTGTGTTTGTGCATATGAGGGGTTGTGTCCCTGTGTGCCTTAGGATGCTCGTCTTCTCATTCACTGTTTTACACCAAAGCTGAGTTTGTCTTTCTGCCTGAGTTTGTAACACTTTGACCTTTTCAGTGCTATGCATAATGTTACTAATTCAGCCTGGTTTTGATTTGGATAGAGGCAAATTATAACCTGTGTTTAGAGCTTCACCTGCTCCTTTCTCCTGCATAGAGTGTGGCACCTGGCTGTTACCCTGAGAGCTTAGCTGGGAGCACCTTGTAATAGATTCCAGGTTCCCTTACCCACCCCGTTTCCATTGCGCTCCCCTTATCTCTGGTTTCCATGTAGATGCTGACATCAGAAGGAACACAGCCTCAAGCAGCAAATCCTTCGTTTCCTCCCAGTCCTTGTGAGTACTTTTTTTTACCAAAAAAAAGAAAAGAAAACCTTAGGATATGTAGAGAAACAAACCCAGTTCTTGGTGTATGGCTGGGCAAAGCCATCCAGATGTAAGAGGAGGCGAGGTTAAAGGGAGGGGCTTGCTGATGGTGCCGAGCCCACGGGAAGAAAGCAGAAGCTCTTTGGTCCCAGTGGGATGGGCTCTCGTGGAGGCAAAGCTGGAAGTGAGTTATTCCTTCTCTGCTGACTCTCATCATAACCAGAGGCCCCAGAAGGTCTCAAAAGAGAGCAGTGATGATGGTTTTTGGTTATGAAATCAAATTGAACAGATTCCACATCATAGACCCAACCAGGGGACACAGTAGCTCATTTGGGAGGAAAAATCGCTTTGTAGTCCACAAAGCAATTTTACTCACTTTGTTTTGTAAGCAGGCATTATAATCTCCATTTTGCTGTTAGAGGAGCTGAAGTTCAGAGAAAGGAAGTGACAGAGTCCTTCATTAGCAGTGCCGTGCAGTGGCAGGAAGTGGGGCTTGAACCGAAGTCTTAGGACCGTGAGACTAGTGGACTTTGACTGTCCCATGTGTGAGGGTGATGAGCAGGCCAGGGTGCTGCGGGTGTTCTTCCAGCCCAGAAGTTGCTGCGTGGGGGATGAGATCATGAAGGGAAGCCTCGCATCGCCCATCCTTTCCCTGTGTTCAGCCGTCCTTGATTCTCCCCTTTCCAGCTCCCACTGCTTCCTGCACTCCACGTCTGCTGAGGCGGTGGCCATGGGGCTCCTGAAGCAGTTTGAGGGGATGCAGCTTCCAGCCGCCTCGGAGCTGGAGTGGCTTGTCCCGGAGCATGATGCCCCTCAGAAGGTAGGTCCTTAGCTCTTCTTCCTACCCAGGGGCCATCGTGAGCCTCTGTGACCTTGTTTTCCTTCGTCACATGTCCCTAGTCTGGAATGAGCCTGGGTGTTCCCCCCTTACTCGTGGAAGCCATTCATTACAATGTGTCAAGTGATAAATGAACGAGTGAATGCTTGCTCACCTTGTCAGAGCAGAGATGACGGCGCGTTCGCGGTCCTTATTCACGTGACTGCTCGCCAGACTCAGTCATGTTTGGTTTGTGACCACCTCGGAGACACTACGCAAAAGTAAATCGCTTGGATTCTTTGCTCTGCAGTTGTCTTTAAGGCATGAAACACACTGGCACAGCAAGGGTCCTGGGATGGGTGCAGGGACAGCATGAGCCGTGGGGCCACTGCCCTGGTAGGCTGTTTCTGTTTGCTTCTTGGAACCCACGGCCCTCACTTGTAGTACCTTGGCGCCTCCTGGTTGTTTCTGAGGTTCCCTGAAGCCCTTATCCTGTGGTGTTCCTGAAATGTCTTTCACTCATTATGCTCTGTCATGGCCAAAAGGGTCCCGCATTTCTGTTTCTCAAGCCCGTCCGTGTGAACTTACCCCAACTGTGTTTTTCTCCTGCCCATCCCTGACTCACTGCCCATCTCACCAGATGACGGGCAGCACACTGACACGAGCTTACCCCAACTGTGCTTTCCTCCTGCAGCTCCTGCCCATTCCTGACTCACTGCCCATCTCACCGGATGACGGGCAGCACGCTGACATCTACAAGCTGCGGATTCGTGTTCGTGGCAACTTGGAGTGGGCCCCGCCCCGGCCTCAGATAATTTTTAATGTTCATCCAGCCCCAACGTGAGTGGCCAGTGTCTGTGCCCTTTGGAGCACAGATCCGTCCTCTTTGGATTGTCAGGGTTTTCGTCTCACCCACTTGTCCCTGCCTCCAGCTGTCCTTCCCACACCGTTCTCTTCATTTAAAGGCAGAGGGGGGGCGTCGTCCATTTGGTCCTTCGTTTCTTACTCTTAATTCCTGGAGCTAATTGGAAACGAGGCGGGTTTTGTTTTGCTGGCATTCCCAACCTGTAGCTTTCCTCCCAGTAGTTGTGTGGGCTTGCTGGTTTTTCTTCTCTTTCTAAGATAGATGGATGCTCTTCTCTCCTGTCATTCTCTCTCCTTTACCACATCTCATTCCTTATATTTGTACAGAATGTGTGGTTCCTTACTGGGCAGAGTGACTGCCTAGACCTAAATCTTATATGGAGTTAGCTCTCCCAATAGGTTCATTTTTGTCCAACTAAAATGTAGGTGAATTCCCCTCTCTTCCCATACTTAACTGGAGCTGTATGTATGTGTGCTCACTCCTTCACACCTCCAAGGTCTCACGCAGCTGCTCTGTGCCAATGCCCTGTCCTTACCCTTCCTCAGGAGGAAAATTGCCGTGGCCAAGCAGAATTACCGCTGTGCAGGATGTGGCATCCGGACTGACCCTGGTGAGTGCCTTCCCTTCCCACCATGCTGCCTCCAGAGGCTCTGTACCCTCCCCGACACGTAGGGAGAGGTGGCGTGTCAAAGGCGGTAGCAGGAGGTGGCGTGGCAGAAGTAGGGAAGGAGAAAGAAAGGTTCGTAGTAGGCAAGAGTGCTGGCAATCGGAGGGAAATGATTTCTGGGAGCACATGGCCAGGATTGTATCCTGTGGAAAGTTGGGTAGTTCCAGCTAGCTGGTAAGGCGGGATCTTACTATCTCCAGCTGGTTTTATTTCCTCAGGGCCTCCAAGGTAGGACATTATCACCCCAGGATCCACTATGTGGATTTCTGCAAGCTTTGGGGAACTCAGACAGAGGTTGCTGGAGGCCATTGGCTGTCCCTCTCTGCCCTTTCAAGGGAAAAGCAGAGCTGCCTTCCCAGCTTGTAGATGGGAAAGTTACATCTGGCTTTCTGGCTTTCCGGTTTTTCCAGATTACATCAAGCGACTGCGGTACTGTGAGTACCTGGGCAAGTACTTCTGCCAGTGCTGCCACGAGAATGCCCAGATGGCCATCCCCAGCCGGGTTCTGCGCAAGTGGGACTTCAGCAAGTACTACGTCAGCAACTTCTCCAAGGACCTGCTCATTAAGATCTGGAATGATCCTCTCTTCAACGTGCAGGACATAAACAGTGCCCTCTATAGGAAGGTCAAGCTGCTCAATCAAGTCCGGGTAAGACCTTGGAAAAGGCCACCTTAGAGTCTTGCCCTTCTCCTCCCCTCATCCCCTCCCCTCGTCCCTCCCCCGTCCCCTCCCCCCATCCCCTCCTCTTGTCCCCTCCCCCCATCCCCTCCCCTCGTCTCCTCTCCTTGTCCCCTCCCCTGGTTATATAGGGCTTCCCACAATTACCACACTTCTTGTTATCGCAGTGTCAAAGCTATAACCGTCTCTCCGTTCATGCCCTCACTATGTACTTTCTTAATCTCTTCCCATTTCCCAGGTTATCTGTCTAGTTGGAGCCTCAAACGTGGCAATGGCAGCTAGGAAGCTGTAGATAGCACTTGAGGGCAAAAGCAGAATTTCTTCCTTCACTAAAAACATTAGTGAATGAATGAGGAATCGGGTATCGAGTAAGAAATTGGAATTTCGGAGCACTCCTCTGCCCAGACTGCTTATGTGACTCGGGCAGACAGACCTGGCGGAGGGGCCTTCCCTGACTAGAGGGCACTCTGAAGCCAGTTGTCAGAGTGAGTTAGAGCAAGTTAGAGCATAGGACAGTCTGAAGCCAGTTGTCAGTTAGAGCGTAAGACAGTCTGAAGCCAGTTGTCAGTTAGAGCGTAGGACAGTCTGAAGCCACTTGTCGAGTTAGAGCGTAGGACAGTCTGGAGCCAGTTGTCAGTTAGAGCGTAGGACAGTCTGAAGCCACTTGTCGAGTTAGAGCGTAGGACAGTCTGAAGCCAGTTGTCAGTTAGAGCACAGGACAGTCTGGAGCCAGTTGTCAGTTAGAGCGTAGGACAGTCTGGAGCCAGTTGTCAGAGCGTAGGACAGTCTGGAGCCAGTTGTCAGAGCGTAGGACAGTCTGAAGCCAGTTGTCAGAGCACAGGACAGTCTGAAGCCAGTTGTCAGTTAGAGCACAGGACAGTCTGGAGCCAGTTGTCAGTTAGAGCGTAGGACAGTCTGGAGCCAGTTGTCAGAGCGTAGGACAGTCTGGAGCCAGTTGTCAGAGCGTAGGACAGTCTGAAGCCAGTTGTCAGAGCACAGGACAGTCTGAAGCCAGTTGTCAGTTAGAGCGTAGGACAGTCTGAAGCCAGTTGTCAGAGCGTAGGACAGTCTGAAGCCAGTTGTCAGAGCACAGGACAATCTGAAGCCAGTTGTCAGTTAGAGCGTAGGACAGTCTGGAGCCAGTTGTCAGAGCGTAGGACAGTCTGGAGCCAGTTGTCAGAGCGTAGGACAGTCTGAAGCCAGTTGTCAGAGCACAGGACAGTCTGGAGCCAGTTGTCAGAGCGTAGGACAGTCTGGAGCCAGTTGTCAGAGCGTAGGACAGTCTGGAGCCAGTTGTCAGTTAGAGCGTAGGACAGTCTGAAGCCAGTTGTCAGAGCGTAGGACAGTCTGGAGCCAGTTGTCAGAGCGTAGGACAGTCTGGAGCCAGTTGTCAGTTAGAGCATAGGACAGTCTGGAGCCAGTTGTCAGAGCGTAGGACAGTCTGAAGCCAGTTGTCAGTTAGAGCGTAGGACAGTCTGAAGCCAGTTGTCAGAGCGTAGGACAGTCTGGAGCCAGTGGTCAGAGCATAGGACAGTCTGGAGCCAGTTGTCAGAGCGTAGGACAGTCTGGAGCCAGTTGTCAGTTAGAGCGTAGGACAGTCTGGAGCCAGTTGTCAGAGCGTAGGACAGTCTGGAGCCAGTTGTCAGAGCGTAGGACAGTCTGAAGCCAGTTGTCAGTTAGAGCGTAGGACAGTCTGAAGCCAGTTGACAAGTTAGAGCGTAGGACAGTCTAAAGCCAGTTGTCAGTCAGAGCGTAGGACAGGCTGAAGCCAGTTGTCAGTCAGAGCGTAGGACAGTCTGAAGCCAGTTGTCAGAGCATAGGACAGTCTGGAGCCAGTTGTCAGAGCGTAGGACAGTCTGAAGCCACTTGTCGAGTTAGAGCGTAGGACAGTCTGAAGCCAGTTGTCAGAGCGTAGGACAGTCTGAAGCCACTTGTCGAGTTAGAGCATAGGACAGTCTGAAGCCAGTTGTCAGAGCATAGGACAGTCTGAAGCCAGTTGTCAGTTAGAGCACAGGACAGTCTGAAGCCAGTTGTCAGAGCGTAGGACAGTCTGGAGCCAGTTGTCAGAGCGTAGGACAGTCTGAAGCCAGTTGACGAGTTAGAGCGTAGGACAGTCTGAAGCCAGTTGTCAGTTAGAGCATACGACAGTCTGGAGCCAGTTGTCAGAGCGTAGGACAGTCTGAAGCCAGTTGTTAGAGCGTAGGACAGTCTGGAGCCAGTTGTCAGTTAGAGCGTAGGACAGTCTGAAGCCAGTTGTCAGTTAGAGCGTACGACAGTCTGGAGCCAGTTGTCAGAGCGTAGGACAGTCTGAAGCCAGTTGTTAGAGCGTAGGACAGTCTGGAGCCAGTTGTCAGTTAGAGCGTAGGACAGTCTGAAGCCAGTTGTCAGTTAGAGCATACGACAGTCTGGAGCCAGTTGTCAGAGCGTAGGACAATCTGAAGCCAGTTGTCAGTTAGAGCGTAGGACAGTCTGGAGCCAGTTGTCAGAGCGTAGGACAGTCTGGAGCCAGTTGTCAGAGTGTAGGACAGTCTGAAGCCAGTTGTCAGTCAGAGCGTAGGACAGTCTGAAGCCAGTTGTTAGAGCGTAGGACAGTCTGGAGCCAGTTGTCAGTTAGAGCGTAGGACAGTCTGAAGCCAGTTGTCAGTTAGAGCATAGGACAGTCTGAAGCCAGTTGACGAGTTAGAGCGTAGGACAGTCTGAAGCCAGTTGTCAGAGTGTAGGACAGTCTGAAGCCAGTTGTTAGAGCATAGGACAGTCTGAAGCCAGTTGTCGAGTTAGAGCATAGGACAGTCTGAAGCCAGTTGTCAGAGCATAGGACAGTCTGGAGCCAGTTGTCAGTCAGAGTGTGGGACAGTCTGAAGCCAGGTATCGAGTTAGAGCATACAACAGTCTGAAGCCAGTTGTCGAGTTAGAGCGTGGGACAGTCTGAAGCCAGCTGTCAGAGTGTGGGACAGTCTGAAGCCAGGTGTCGAGTTAGAGCGTAGGACAGTCTGAAGCCAGTTGTCAGTCAGAGTGTGGGACAGTCAGAAGCCAGGTGTCGAGTTAGAGCATAGGACAGTCTGGAACCAGTTGTCGAGTTAGAGCGTGGGACAGTCTGAAGCCAGCTGTCAGTCAGAGTGTGGGACAGTCTGAAGCCAGGTGTCGAGTTAGAGCGTAGGACAGTCTGAAGCCAGTTGTCAGTCAGAGTGTGGGACAGTCTGAAGCCAGGTGTCGAGTTAGAGCATAGGACAGTCTGGAACCAGTTGTCGAGTTAGAGCGTGGGACAGTCTGAAGCCAGCTGTCAGTCAGAGTGTGGGACAGTCTGAAGCCAGGTGTCGAGTTAGAGCGTAGGACAGTCTGAAGCCAGTTGTCAGTCAGAGTGTGGGACAATCTGAAGCCAGGTGTCGAGTCAGAGCATAGGACAGTCTGGAGCCAGTTGTCAGAGCGTAGGACAGTCTGCTCTGGGTGCAGCATGCAAGGCTTCTAGAACCCCAGGGTTTAAAGGCCCTGGGCTTCCCACACTGGATTCCTCTTCTCACATCTCCCTCCCACTCCTGCCCCCCTCTCTTTCTTTTCAGCTGCTGCGGGTCCAGCTGTGTCACATGAAGAACATGTTCAAGACTTGCCGACTGGCCAAGGAGTAAGTCCTTTTGGAGCTAGAGCCCTCTGGCCACGTTGCTGTCTCCGAAAGGGACACATCCCCGCGCTTGGCTCTTGTTATGTAACGAAGGAGAGTAGAGAGATTTTGCAGAACTGTAAAGTGGTAAACAGGAGGCCACAGCAGTAACTGTATCTGTGTCCTTCTCTCTGGAAGGGGATCTGTGGTCATTCCATCCAGGACAGGCCACCTCTCTTCCCAGGCTGGGTCTCACATGGGCCACTCTGCAGGAGCCTATAAATCAGTCACTCCTGCCATCCAGACACCTAATAGCGTGGAACGGCTGCGGCGGCCTGGAACCTTGGGCTGGCTGATGGGTGCCCACCCTCATTACTTTCTGCAGTTTCTGGATAGGGATCCTTCTACTACGATGTGGCACATGCACTGTTCATTCCCTCACCTGCCTCCTGTCACTCCCTGTAGGCTTCTGGATTCCTTTGACACAGTCCCAGGCCACCTGACAGAGGACCTCCACCTGTACTCACTGAATGACCTGACTGCGACCAGGAAGGGGGAGCTGGGGCCCCGGCTTGCTGAGCTCACCAGGGCAGGGGCTACCCATGTGGAGAGATGCATGGTGAGAAAGTCTCACTGTAGCATGCAGCTGAGCCCTTGCTTTTAGGGATACAGGGAGGGGGGTGGACCTGGGGTTCTTGCCACTTAGCTTGAGGAAGTTGAAATGGCCAGTCAGCACTGGGAGAGGAACTGGAAAGGGCTGCTGTTCCTTAGCCTGGAGAGCAGCCAAATCATCCTGATCTAAAGAACCTCGAGTGAGGGGAGGAGCTGGTGCTGGCTGTGGTCCTGGGTAGCTCCGGGCAAGACCGAGTAGACTTTCACTCAAGAAGTGTTGGCCAGGCACGGTGGCTTAGGCCTCTCATCCCAGCAATTTGGGAGGCCGAGGTGGGCGGGTCACCTGAGGTCAGGAGTTCAAGACCAGCCTGACGAACATGATGAAACCCCATCTCTACTAAAATACAGAAATTAGCCGGGCATGATGGCGGGTGCCTGTAATCCCAGCTACTCGGGAGGCTGAGGCAGGAGAATTGCTTGAATCCAGGAGGCGGAGGTTGCAGTGAGCCGAGATCATGCCACTGCACTCCAGCCTGAGCGACAAGAGTGGAAAAAAAAAAGGCAGTTGTCATGATGTGAGAGGAGAGCTCTGGATTGGAATCGAGAGGGAGTCTACCCTCGGCCGTCATTTGTTGTTCTCAGTCATTATGACCAAAATAAATACTTTGTCCCCTCTGAGGCCTCGATTTTCTTGGCTCTAAGATGAAGAGAATAATTTACTTTCTTCTCAGTATTTTTGAGGGTTGATGGGGTAATTTGTATGACAGCGTTTTGTATACTTTATGTATTCCTCAAACGCACGTCGTTATTGTCGTCATCTACTCAACATGTTGAAAATGCAGAAATTACACTTTTAGAACTTCCTGTCTTAGCCTATGCCCAGTTTATGTTCCTGTGACCGTCCCATAATTCGAGCTGGGCACAGGTAGGAAACCCTGTGTGTCTGGGAGGAACTGGAAATCCTTCACTACAACCTGACTCCAGGCTTGGAGCTGTGTTTGAGGAACAGCCTCGTCTCCACATTTTATCTTAATTGCTTGTGGTTCCTATTCTGAAATAAAATCATGACCCAGATGGGACTGTCGGCTTAGGAAGCCCTTTGTGGTGCCATTTCCTCCTTCTCCTCTCTTCATGGAGAGCCGCGCTGGGGGTCGGAGCTTCTCCGGCTGGTGCCTGTCTGATCTTCTGCCTAAAGCTTTGTCTAACGCTGCCCGGCCCTGGTCCTAGTTTAGCTTTCATGCTTCTGAGTCCAGCCCAGGCCTCCTCCCTGTGGGCAGCAGAACCCTGTAGACCACTCCCCTCCTCGGTGTTCACCCTCCCGTGCCAGTTCCTGATGTGCCGCTCCTCATTTTGCCATCTGTGTTTTTCCTCCCCAGCTCTGCCAAGCCAAAGGCTTCATCTGTGAGTTCTGTCAGAATGAGGATGACATCATCTTTCCCTTTGAGCTCCATAAGTGCCGGACCTGTGAAGGTGAGGGCAGGTGCAGGCATCGGGCAAGTGAGCCTGAACACAGGGCTCCTTGATTCCCCAGAGCCACCCCTGTTAGCAAGAGTTCGGTGCCACTCAGCACCTCGCGGGGCCTCCCCAGGGGACACCACGCCTTGGTGGCGAGAAGGGGCTGTGGCAGCAACTGACCTCTAGCTGGAGATAATACAAATTGTTTTCTTCTCTCCCCCACCTTCCCAACCTGAGTAGAGTGTAAAGCGTGTTACCATAAAGCCTGCTTCAAGTCTGGAAGCTGTCCGCGCTGCGAGCGGCTGCAGGCCCGGCGGGAGGCACTGGCCAGGCAGAGCCTGGAGTCTTACCTGTCAGACTACGAGGAGGAGCCCGCGGAAGCGCTGGCCCTGGAAGCCGCCGTCCTGGAGGCCACCTGAAGAAAGCACGTGCAGCCCTCCCTCCGGGCCGGGTCACACCTGTTGCAGAACTGAGCCACTCTTTGAAGGACTCGCCCCACCTGGGGCTTCTTTTTTTTTTTTTTTTTTTAATTATCATCATCTTTTTTTTTTTTTTTACTGACTTGTCTGACGTCTGTGTGCAGTCAGCCGTCGGCAGGTTGATGGGTCCAGAGTCTGTGGTGACAGATAATTTGTAAACACCAGGTGTTTCCATCAGAACTGACATGCGGGTCCTTCAGTGAAGCTTCTAGTGCCTCTGTCAGTGGAAGAGACAGCAAGACCAAGTTCTTCCAGCGTCTGTGGCCTTCTCCTCTAGGTTTCACCTGCATGTCAGGTATCATTTCCAATTTTCCTTTGTTTCAGTTCTGGAGCTTCTGAGCCAGGCCTTTCTCAACCACCTCTCCTGCTGCTGAAACGGGGATGGCGTTTTCCCTCTCCCTGTCCTGGACTGGGGTCAGACTGTGCCCCGAGGAGAAGCAGCAGAGAATAGGACTACGTCATGGGCATTTCGTCCACTTATTTGGGTATTTTGGGGGCCACAGAACAATCCTGACTATCCTAGACTCCTCAGAGACCTCAGAGGCAGCTGTGAATGTCCCTATGTTGCCGGGAGTTCCTGTTTGAAATATTTGAAGCATAGAGGATGCCACAAGCTGACTTTCTTCATCTACCTTGGTGATCTTGAAGCAAAGAACAGAACTGATGCTCAGGCCAGGCTCACCTGTAGCCTTACGCCGCAAGCATACGTGAGGCGCCAGCTCTGTCGCTGAAGGAGCGCTTACTCAGAGGAGCGGTCGGCCCCCTCTTGGTGTTAAGGTCTCTTAGTTAACCTGGCTTTTTGGTGCAGGTGTGATCTTTGAAGCTCAGGCAGGTCCCTGATGCCATCCTAAGGTGAGGACAGGAACCTCACCCACCATCTTCTTAGCGTGTCCCTGATGACTCTGTCCTCTGTTAGATGGTCGTTGTGCTTCTGAGTAAAAGTACAACCCGACTCCGTTCTCTCCCCTTCCTGCAGCAGAGCTGGGTCCTTCCCTGGTGGCCGAGTCTCTCTTGCCTTAGCTTCTTTGGTCAAAGTTGGAGAAAAGCTTCCTGCTATTAGTGCTGTTACAGAACTTGACGGTTTGTGGATGTGAGTGTGAATGTCCCTGTGTTCTTGGGATAACAAGAGCCTTTATGCCAATTATGCACTTAACTCTGTGTAGCCTGGTAATGTTTATCTGTTCATTTGATAATGCTGATTTTAGTGTGCTGCCCCCCTCCCCCCGTTAATGTGTGTTGATGGTGAAGTCCTTTTGATAATGCTGATTTTGGTGTGCTGCCTCCCCCTTCCCCCCCGTTAATGTGTGTGTTGACAGTGAAGTCCTTGGGTGGGGCCATGTGTGTGTTTGTGATGTTCCTTAAGTTGATGCAGCTTCTAACCTCTGTGAAAACACTGGTCAGAGTGGCTTCTCCAAGAGCTGGCAGCTCTGTGAACTAAAGCCTGCATCATTTTTGTTCTGGGATTGAATTCTGCCCATGGGCATGTCTTCTCATAGTTGCTTGCTGGTAGGAAAGAAATGGGCGTGGGTGCTGCCCTGGAAGCTGAGCGGAAAGTTGCCTGTGGTTGGTGGAAGCTGATGAGAGCTTGAGCTGGCGGTAAGAAGGAGTCTCCCAGGGAAGTGGGAGAGGCATTAAGGTGATGGCCAGGGCTGAGGCTCCACCAGCGTGAGAGGGAACATGTGGGAACTGGCCCCTGCCCTTGATTCCTCTGCCTCAAAGTTGGGATCTGAAAGCCATGTAGGGCTAGAAGACCCTGAGGCTGTTCTCCCTTCTGTTCATAGTGAGACTCAAAAAGCCAAGTCCCAGAAGTTCTGAAGGGCTGTGACTAGAAGTGCCCAGGTCCTTCAGGGAGCTTTAAGAATGACCCCACAGAACTCAAGTTTAACTAGGGGTTAGGTCCCAGATTCAGACCCAGGAGTTTATAAAAATGAGCTCTACTTCCAGTTTTGGTTTAAATTACACATCCAGGCCAGGCACAGTGGCTCACACCTGTAATCCCAGCACTTTGGGAGGCCAGTGCGGGCGGATCATGAGGTCAGGAGTTTGAGACCAGCCTGGCCAATGTGGTGAAACCCTGTCTCTTCCAAAAATACAAAAATTAGCTGGGCGTGGTGGCACACGCCTGTAATCCCAGCTACTTGGGAGGCTGAGGCAGGAGAATCGCTTGAACCTGGGAGGCAGAGGTTGCAGTGAGCCGAGATTGCGCCACCGCACTCCAGCCTGGGTGACAGAGTGAGACTCCGTCTCAAAAAACAAAAAGGTGACACATCCAGCTCTTTCTCCAGGTCACTGCGCTGGAGGACAGATGTGCCGTCTTGTCCTGCCTGTTTCACATCAGCATAGGATCAAAGGATGACAATGCTGACAGCTTCTGAAGCCGAACTCAACAGTCTCATAGGCTCCTCACTTGTCACTTATTTTTCCCTAGCTCCCTCAACCGCACCCCATCCCTTTAGATCGTGCGTCTGTTTTAGTGACTCTGACACGATGCCGTCCTCACCTTCCAAATACCCAGTTATTTATTCAAGAGGGGGGAAGTGGGTAGAGGATGGGATGTTTTGGAAGCACTTTGCAAGTTACCACTATCTGAAAATCCCCTGCTGTTGCGGGGAGAAGCTTTGAATGCACTGAAGAGAATTCCTTCTAAATGAAGGCAGGTGATAGTGTTCTTTCTGTAAGTAAAGGGAAAGAAAAAAAACATAGTTTGCTTACCAGGTGGAGACAAGATTCAAGACATAGCAGAAGAGTGGAAGACAAATATTTTCCACTTAAATGAGGCTGTTTTTGACGTTCTCTGCCAAGGATTTAGAGCTTTCGTTGAACTAACATAAAAGGAGTGCGAGTCTTAGTAGAGATGTTCCGTGTGTGCCGCCCGTGCTCTGAACTGCGTTTCCACCTGCTGTGGTGCTTGTGCAGCCTGGCAGTTCATTGTCATCTTTAATAAACTAAGGAAATAAAATTCTGTCTTTCGTCAGCCTGCCTTGACTGTCAAGAAATGGCATGTGTCCACTGTAAAGCAGGTATATCTGAACATTGAGAAGGTTTCTGTGTTATAATGTAAAGCAAACTGGACCACACACATCAAGGAAAGTGAGGTGGAGTGGCTGTGTCTCTAACTTGCCATGAGACCTCGAGCGAACCACTTCACTTCTCTGGGTTTCTGGTGCATGGTGTAACTGTCACTTAAAATGAGGTGTCTTCCTCTCCGCAACATCTGACTTGCCTTAGATGCTTCAGTTCCCACTTCTGTGAGCAGCTAGCATCTTTCTCTTCTGCTCCTGGCCCACTGGAGCTCCAGCTCTACGCTGCAACTCTCTCAACATTTCCCCTTAAATGTCCCCTTGTCATCTCCAACCAGTGTGTCTAAAACCAGCATAAATTCCGTATTTCCAAAAACCTAACCATTAGTCACCCAGGTTTGAAAATTAATTGTCTTCAACTTCCTCTGTAAGTGGCACACTGAGCTCATCACGCATCGTCTCATTCCTACTCCCTGTCATCAAGTTCTGTGGATGTTTTCCTCTAAAATAAATCTCTCATTACTTTTCTGCCACTAGCACACAAATTCAGGTGTTCTTGATCATACATTATTTTCCTCCCTGCGCCTCAGTGGAACAATGATTAGAAGCACCTTGTGGGATGAGGAGCCGGGCGCGGTGGCTCACGAGTGTCATCCAGTACTTTGAGAGACCAAGGCAGGGGGATCACCTGAGGTCAGGAATTCAAGACCAGCCTGGCTAACATCACAAAACCTCATCTCTACAAAAATATAAAAATTAGCCAGGCATGGTGGCATGTGCTTGTAATCCCAGCTACTCGGGAGGCTGAATCATGAGAATCACTTGAACCTGGAAGGCGAGGGCTGCAGTGAGCCAAGCTTGCTCCATTGCACTCCATCCTGGATGAAGAGCGAGACCCTGTCTCAAAAAAACAAAACAAAACAAAAAAAGCACCAGCACACTGTGGCATGAGGGGCGGGATTGTGACCACCTCTACCTCCCCTCTTAGTGCTCACCAAGTCTCTGCAGTAGTGAGCGTGTCCTCATCTCCTGTCTTCTCCCTCAGCTACTTTGTCTGCAACTGCTCCTGTTGTGTTTGTCCAGCAGTCATCATCAGAGGACACACATCCCAAATGTCCTTCAGTCACTTTATTATTAAACTGCCAGCTCTTTCCTTGCCAGGGACTAAACCAGGAGATAAGATGATATTTATATGCTGTAAACACACCCTACATATTTAAAAATCTTCATATTTACAAATTAAACTGAGAGGAGAATGAAAAAGCCATGTGAAAGACTGCTGAAGTTGATAAAATGTTCAAATGTTTTTCAACTAGAGATAGGAAAATAGCTTACAGTACAAAACCTTCACTTTGTTCTAAGGCCCTTTTGTTCATTGTTACAAACTGGTGTAGTTCACAGGAAGCCAAAGCTTGATTTCCAGTAAGTTCCCAAACTTCTGTTCTCAACATTTAACTTAGATTTTAGATGATCATATTCCAAAATTGGAAAGACTGTTGAAGAGGAAAACAAGGACCATTGATTCACAATGGCAGCCCAGCATTTATTTATTCATTCAATCATCCGTCAATCCCAAACATCTATAGATGCCTCCGTGTTCCAGACACCATGCCAGAGCTGAGAGTACAAAGAATCACAGAATATTGTTTAAAGATGTTTACTGCAGCATAATTTATGAAAGTAAAAAGTTAATGGAAAATAAAAAAATTGATGCAACCATCAAAATGACAGTTATAAAAATTATGATAGTGAGCCGCACACAGTGGCTCACGCCTGTAATCCCAGCACTTTGGGAGGCCGAGGCGGGCGGATCACGAGGTCAAGAGATTGGGACCATCCTGGCCAACATGGTGAAACCTTGTCTCTACTAAAAATACAAAAGCTAGTTGGGCATGATGGCGGGCGCCTGTAATCCCAGCTACTCGCGAGGTTGAGACAGGAGAATTGCTTGAACCCGGGTGGCGGAGGTTGCAGTGAGCCGAGATCACGCCACTGCACTCCACCCTGGGCAACAGAGTGGGACTCTGTCTCAAACAAAAAAATAAATTATGATAGTAACATGGGGAAAAAGTCTTGTAATACAATGTTATGTGAGAAGAAGTTAGAAAAAGTGTATGTCAAATATATATTTATTAGTCCATACATACATAAATAAATGACCAAATAAATAAATTCTCACAGAAGAATTCTAAACAAAATACGTAAATTCTCCCAGGAGGTGGAGTTTAATTCCTTCTCCCATTGAGGGTGGACTGGAATTAGTGATTCACTTTTTTAAATAAAAGGATATAGAAAGAGGAAAATAGCAACTTTAGAGTAGAGAGAGCTAACACGACCTTAACCAAGTAATCAACGTTAACATCTCCAAAGATGTCATTGGATGTCATGTACCTACTAATACAATGAAAGGGGTACATCTTCCCTGACATTCATTCAGAAACCCATAACCTCAGTCTAATCATGAGAAAAACAACAAACAACATAAACACAGGAGCAAAATTCGAGGAACTTTCTACAAAACACTTGACCCTACTCAAAATTGCCAAGGTCTCGAAAACAAGGAAAGAGATGCCGTCACGGACGAGAGGAGACTAAGCAGATACGATGACTGAATGCCATGTGGGATCCCGGGTGGGATCCCGAAATGGAGAAAGGATATTAGTGAAAAAACTGGCAAAATCTGAATACAATTTGGAGTTTAGTTAAAAGTAACATACCAATGTTGGTTCCTTAGTTTTGGGAAATGTCCAGTACTACAGTAATGTAAGATGGTAACATTAGGGAGAGCTGAAATCGGGTGAGGGCTATGTGACGAATTTGTACTATCTTTGCAACTTTACTGTGGATCTAAAATTATTCCAGATTAAGAAGTTTACCTATATAAAAAGCATATGTACATCATAATTACAGTTATGCAAAAATATGGTTAGAAAAAATACATAAGGAAAACATACGTAAAAATTAGTGTGGTTCTGTTAGAATGGTGGCATTGTGGAGTATTTTTTCCTCTTATCTGCTTACTGAATTAGCTGTAAATGAGTCATTTTCCATAAATTAAAGAGTTAATTTTAGAGATTCTTTTCCTTGAAATACAGAGGGAATGTACAAAAGTATATCTGTATTGAAGGGTAGTCAAGATAAAGGCTGCTTTAAAATACCCCTGAGACATCCTTCTGCACAAGATAAGCTGGCCTGTGTTGACCCAGAAAATACCCCTTGCTCCTCCCTTTCTGATCCCCTCAGCCTCACCCCAGTTCTGCTGCAAATGGGTGCCTCTGTCAGCCCCAATGCCCTGACAGCACACAGGGAGAAGGCACCTAAGAATTTCTATAAAACCTGAAAATCCAGGCTTCGCGACCTTGGTTTTCGTCCCTGATTTGTAGGGTTCTCAGCATTACCTTAGTCCTGGAGGAACTGTGGCTTCCAAGGTAGGCTCATACTCATCAGGGTCTCCGGGAAGGCTGGGGCAGGAGTAAGAGTAGGAGGCAGAGGGCTCATAGGACTCAGGAAAAGCCTTCTTGAAGGTCAGGTTTTAGAGTGGAAGGTTCAGCCAATGGCCACCTGAACACTTTTGCAGAAGGTTCCCAGACTATTCCAAACACTACAAACAGCACTAATGGACTGGCCTGGAGCTCCCGCCATAAGCACCTGTAAGCAGAGTCACTCCTTCAGTAGCATGTACTGGCCATGGCCACCCTTCTTCAAACCCAAGTACAAGTAAAGTCTTACAACCGAAAAGGCAGAGGTGACCAGCCAAACAAATATTTACCTAGCCTGCATTCTTTCCACAATGTGCCCAGTCAACTCACGAGTCTCAGAGAACAGAGTAAGCCCTCTCTTTACTCCTTAGATAGCATTTTTCCCCAGAAACACTTTATCAGAAACTTTTTTTTTTTGAAACGCAGTCTTGCTCTGTCACCCAGGCTGGAGTACAGTGGAGCAATCTTGGCTCACTGCAGCCTCCGCCTCCTGGGTTCAAGTGATTCTCGTGCCTCACCTTCCTGAGTAGCTGGGACCCCAGGTGCACGCCATCACACCCGGCTAATTTTTGTATTTTTAGTGGAGATGGGATTTCACCATGTTGGCCAGGATGGTCTTGAACTCCTGACCTCAGGTGATGGAGATGGGATTTCACCATGTTGGCCAGGATGGTCTTGAACTCCTGACCTCAGGTGATCTGCCCACCTCAGCCTCCCAAAGTGCTGGGATTACAGGTGTGAGCCGCTTGTCTGGCCAACAATTGTTTTGTTAAAACCTATCACCAAGGGTTGGGCATATGGATCAAGCTGGATTGTCTGAATTCATTCCCTAGAATTTGGACCTTGAGGAAATAAGACAATGAGTGAAAAGATGGGCTGGCACTTGCTTGTTCCAGCATGGTGATGAGACTGCCACTCCCGCCTCCTGGACCCTGGGTGTGTGGCCTGGCCTGGGGAAGGTGCTTGGGGGTGTTGAGGCCTGGCCTGGCCTGGGGAAGGTGCTTGGGGGTGTTGAGGCCTGGCCTGGCCTGGGGAAGGTGCTTGCACAGGGTGACATCATTTCAGGGAGTAGTTGCCTCTGTCCCTGGCCAGTCTCCAGTCTCCAGCTTCATATCCTCCCGCTGGAGAGCAGAGACGATGGGGGTGTCCCTGTGTATGCTTAAGTGCAATGGCATTTTAAGAAAACTATTAGCAATTTTATGAAACTAAATTGCTGCTGTTTTATTAGCAGCCACAGTCAGCAAGGCCCTGGCTGGGTGCTTGCTCCGTGAAGCTGTATACGTGTGACTGCCTCAGCAGTGCTGGCTGCTCCTGCTCTCGAATCTAAAAAGCAGCTGGACAAAATGTTCACGTTTTCGCTCAAAACCAAACAAACAGAAAAACTCAATTAGCTTGTTTGTGTGGGCTGAAGCACCTCTGTTTGCCCGCCCCCCGCAGTGACCCCCATAGTGTCCCCGGAATGGACGGACTCACGGGCTGTCACATCGCGCACATCTTCCCCGGAGAAGGGATGTGAATCTTGGTGGGGTGGGGGGCACTACCTGGCCCAGCACAGGGTGCAGGTGGGTGACCCGGGAGACTCTCCCCGCTCCAGACCTGTCATCATGTTGCCATCTGAGGCGGCACTCACAGGTTTGCGGGGCTGCACATCTTTGGGGGCCTCCACTCAGCCTGGCACAGTGTGTGCCCAGCAAGTAGACGACCGCATCCTCGCCAGCACACATGTGCTAGAAACTTCTGTCAGGAAACGCCGCTCTTCACAGCCAAGGGTGGAAACTACTGGATGCATTGCAGAGCTGACGCCCTCCCTCCGGCCTGGCTCCGAGCCATGCCTGGTGTGGTGGAGGGGTGGAGGCCACCCTCACCGGGCCCTGTGTGCTGCTCTGATGCCGCTGAGGGGGCCGGGGCCTGGGTGTGCCCTCAGCGCGTCCACTGCAGAGGGGAGCCTGCGCCCACGTTTTGGCTCTGTGGGTAAAGGTGGCCACCCCCTGAGCTTGTAGGGGTGTGGGACACTTCCCGATGCTGCCTGCCATGATTTTACATGAAAAGCCGGGAAAAGGCACTGAGGAGCCACCTGACCCCACGGAATGCCATTTCCTGGTGTCGCTTGGCCAGAAGTCATTGACACAGCCCTGCCAGCCGGAAGCTGGGGCAGGGACGGGGTCCTGCCTTCTGGGACAGGTTCTGTGTGTGCGCGACCATGTCCCAGAGGTCTCTGCTCAGCCCTGGGGGCCGGTGGGGGTGGGGTTGGAGGGTGGATGGTGGGGGTGGGGCCAAGTTAGCCCGAGCGGTCTGTGAGGTGAGAAGGGCCGGGGTCTCTCCTCCTCTCCTCCGCACCCCACCCCGCCTTGCTCTGAATCTCTCCCTCTCTCTGTCTCTGTTGGTCTCTTTCCCTCTCTACTCCCCATTCTGGTGTCTTTGGAGCCCTGGGTAAGGTGTGTGCTGAGTCCGGTCTGGTTTGGGGTAGATGTTCTTTGATCTGTTACCACACCTGGAGGGAAAGCCCCTGGCCCGCCCCCCCTCCGTTCCTGCAGAGCCAGGCCCCCCAACCAGTCGGTGGGCAGGATGCCCACCAGTTGCCCCCATCTGGCCCAGGGGGACCTTTCCTCTGCTCTCCAGGGACCACTGCAGGTGGTGTGGCCCCTGAGGGGAGCATAAGGGTGCAGTGCCTGACTCAGGGGACACAGAAGCCCCGTCCATACGGCCTTTTACACAGCACAGCACCCAGCCCTCGGCAGCCCAGAGCAGGAACCAACAGGGTAGGTGCCCAGGGGCCCCAAAGGTCAGAGTTCCTCGCACAGCTGCCAGGGAGCACAGGGACCGCAGCACAGGGTCTTCTGCTCAGCACCGGGACCCCGCTCGCTGCAGCTAAAGAAACAGATACGTCCAAGGGCTCCACGGCCGGGGCCGGGCACCTGGAACAGGGTGGTCCTGGGGCGGCCACATCCACTCCTTCCAGGTGAGTTCCCGGTGACTCTCGGCCTGCAGTCGGCCTTGCTGAATTCTCTTAGGCCACCTGGCTGCCCCCTGCTACGCGTCCAGCTGTTGATCGCCCACTGACCTGTAGAAGACCTGGTCAGCCCCTCTGTCTTCCGTCACCCATGGAGGCGCCTGCAGGTGCTCCGCGCAGCCCGCCCGGCCCTGCACAGACCCGAGGCGGCACCAGGGGGCGCTGCCGGCCCGAGGACGCGGGCGCGGGGCGGAGGCTGCGGGGCAGGAGCCGCTGTGCGCGTTCAGGCAGCTGCCCGGGACCCCTGGCACCGACCGCAGCCCCCAGAGGCCCCCGGGGGGTTTCCGCCTGAGCCTAAACCGAAGACAGGGCCTGTTTTCAGTCATCCCGACCCCACAGACTCTGCCCGTTAGTTCCCGCGCTGCCCGGCGCCCTAGTACCCAGAGCCGGTGGGGACTCCAGGCCACCAAAGGCAGGGGCGGGGCGGGCGGTTGAAGGAAGATTGGGACACGGAGAAGAGGGACAAGGCCTGGGGCCCGAGGGGTCAGGACGCTCTGCCAGCCTCACCACCCGCCACACCCAGGCACGGACGCACGCACACACTCCACACGTGTGAACACGCACGCATGGCTGCACACACGTGCACAGAGAGGCACAGCCCGCAGGAACACAGATGCACGCACACAGGCACAGGCACGCTCCCTCACTCACTCTCACACACCCCAGGTGCAGACACCCCCACCCAGAGGTTGCAGCTCGGATGGAGAAACAGGCTGGGTCACAAAAGCCCCGGGAGGCAGCCCCTGCTGTCTGGCGTCTTCTCTGGGGAAAGCTTTCCGGAGCCTGATGGAGGAAGACAGAGGAAAGAGACCTGTGTTCCCTGATGCACTGGCCAGCTGCTTCCCGGGGAGGAGGAGGCAGAAATATACAGTAACTGATTGTTGCCTTTGGTCTGTGAACTGTACTATGGAACACTGGAACTTACTCCTTCACCTGACTGCATGTTTGTGCCCCATAACCAGCCTCACTTTCTGTCTGCCTCTCACCCACACACCCTGCCTAGCCTCTGGGAACCACCAGCCAACTCTCTGCCTCTGTAAGAGCCACTCTTTCAGTGCCCACAAATGAGTGAGAACATGGTACATTTGTCTTTCTACCCCGGCTTACTTCCCTTAACATGACAGCCTTCAATTCCATCCATGTTGTTGCAAACGACATGATTTCATTCTTGTTTATGGCTGCGGAGTATTCCATTGCGTAAGATACCACGTGTTCTGTATCCATTCATCCATTGATAGGCACCCAGGTTGATTCCATTTGGCTTTTGAAAGTGTGTAGTTGGAGAATCCAATGTGCCCCCTCGGGTTTTCAAAATGTGGGCATCTTGAGTGCGGGAAAGGAAGTGCCTGCCGCTCCCCAGGGCACCCGGTGGCATCTGCAGAGGGGAGGCAGCCACAGCAGGCCTGCCGTGGTGACAGCAAATAGCCAGGCGGCCAGGGAGGCTCCTGCGGTGACAGCCCCGGGTCACAGGGTCAGAAGCAGCCCACCGGGGCCGGGGTGGCTTGCGTCAGTTTGGGAACATTTTAAGCCATTACCACTTTAAATACTGATTTTGCCTATTCTTTCTCTCCTTCCCAGAACTCCAGTTACTCACGTGTGGTGTCTTCTCATTGTGTCTGCTGTCTCTTCCCATCTCACTGGGGCAGTAGGGCTGCCATAAGCCAGCACCACAGACCAGGGGCTCCACAACCCTGGTGGCTGCAAGTTCAAGATCAACACAGGGACAGGGTTAGTCTAGTGAGGCCTCTCTTCCTGGCTTGTGGAGGGCCACCTGCTCCCTGTGTGCACAAGGCCTTTTCTCTGTGCACACGCATGTGCACGCGCACACACGTGCACACACACGCACACACGTGCACACACACGTGCACACACACGCACACATGCACACACACGCACACACATGCACACACACGTGCACACACACGCACACATGCACACACACGCACGCAATCTGGTGTCTCTTCCTCTTCTCATAAGGACTCCAGTCCTATCGGATCAGGGCCCCACCCTGCTGGCTGCACTTCACCTTAATTACCTCCCTAATGTCTTCTCTCCAGACAGACTCTCCTTGGTGGGTGGGGCTTTGTGAGGGTTTGAATGTCCGTGTTCCCCGAAATTCATCTGTTGAAATCCTCACCCCCAAGGCGATGGTGTTAGGAGATGGGGCCTGTGGTAGGGACGGGGTCCTGAAGGTGGACCGCTGATCATGGGATCGGTGTCCTCATAAAAGAGGCCCCAGAGCGCCCCTCCCCCATCCCCCATGTGAGGACGCAGTGACACACCAGGGAAGCCGGTCCTCACCACACACGGAATCTGCCGGTACCTTGATCTGAGACTCCCCAGTCTTCAAAGCTGTGAGAAATGCATTGTTGTTTCTGAGCCCCCAGTCTATGGCATTTTGTTATGGCAGCCAGAACTAAGCCAGGCTTCCGCATGGGCATTCTGGGAGGACGCGGTTCAGTCCCTCACACTTGCTCTCTCTATTTTCCTCCTTATGCTTCTGTCCTTCATTCTGAGAATCTTCTTCTGACCTACTTTCTAGTTATTCATTATTGTTCAGTGATATCTAAACTATTTTTAAACCCACTTATTGAGTTCTGAAATGTTGCTTGTATTTTTCCCAGGCAATCATCTTTGTATTGCATTTACAAATAGGCATAGAAATAGAGACTGCAATAAGAAAATAGAGAACGCAATGAGAAAAGTTGGAGTTCTAAAAAGAAAGTGGAGGGAGAATAGGAAGAATACAATCAGCAAAGAAAAAAAACCCAAATCTTTCCTTTTTGTGTAATTTTTATTTCTCCACTGAAGTTCTTGACCTTCTCTTTTTCTTCTCATGGACAATGTCTCCAGCGCTCTCTGCAGCCGGCGTCTGAGGGTGCTGCGTCTGCATTCTCATGTAGATGTTTTCATTTGCTGGGTTTCTCACCGCTTATACTCACATTGCCATCTCTCCATGTGTGCCTGGCTCTTTCTTTCTTTGCCTGACATTCTGTTTGCAGTGTTTTGGAAGGAGAATCTGAGGCCAGAATGATGGCTCCTCCAGAGAGGGTGAGCTTGAGTGCCAGCAGCTTGGAGGGGCAGGGCGGTGGCTCTGGTGTCCTGTGGTTTGCGTGGGCTCTCTCTGCACTTACACTCACAAAAAGTATCTCAGGCAGGAATTCTCGCAGGGTGCAGGCTTCTCTTTTGACAGTTTAATGTCACGCGTGGGTTCCTTTGTAAACATCAGATCAATAGCGGAGTTCCAGATTAAAACATTAGGATAAGAAGCCCATGTTGACTCATCCGTCCCTGGAATGGCCTAGAAGACGGGGCACTTGGTGTTCGGGGATGCGTCTGTCTCAGGCCGGCCTCCATGGGTCAGGCAGCCTAGGGTGGGAGGAGGAGGGCGGCGGGCAGCCCCACAGCCGAGATTCAGGAGAAAGGAAGAGCCACTCACTTTCTCTTCTTCACAAAGTCCTGGGAACGCAGGGAGGGGAGACGGGGTCTCGCTCTCAAAGGCAGCTCTGTAGCCAAACTGCTGCCTCCAGGCAGGAAGAGAATCCCCGCTCAGAAGAAAGGTGGGCCACCCCTGATGACGGCAGGTGGCCCCAAGTGTTTGGATGCGGTGGGCCCCACTGGTTTGGGCCTAACCTCAAGTGGCTGCTAATGGTTCCATGATACTCTTCCAGCTAACACTTCACAGAGATGTCTGACTGATGTCCACTGCTCAGCTGCACCCCTGAGCTGGTGAGCATTCAGGTAGAGCACCCACCTCTACTTTTCTCACCCCGAAAATCAGAGACTGGTTCTCAGCTGGTGCAGCCACCGCCCCAGCGTACCGGATGCAGGACTTTCCCTGCGAACACTGGACAGTCCCAGCAAAGCAGACGGTGGGTCGCTCTGTATCTCTGAAGAACAGCTGGGCCTGCGTGTGTCATTCTCAGGCATCTGGCCCAGGGCTTCTCCTCCAGGAAGGTGGCTGCTCAGCTCCGGGCACTGCCAGGGGCCACGGACCCCGCCTCCTTTCCAGGCTGTTCCACAGCATCTGCCTTCATACTCACAGCCACCGCGGCGTGCGTCCCAGGGATTCTCAGAATAGAATTCTGTGCCTCTCTCGCCTCTGGAAGTGACCGCGCTCTGTAGGAAAATATCACAGCACGCCGGCCTCGAAAGGCCACGACGTGGCTCTAAACTGCTCTAAGTATGTCAGTTACTTAGAACAATCAGAAAGGGGCAGAACAAGCTGGGGTGTGGAGTCAGGGGTCAGGGCACAGACAGCACCTCTTGTCTTGCAGAGAGAATGCTAGCAATTTGCAAGTTACTTGAAAAGGTTTGTGATTTTCCAACGCCCTGAGTAATTCTAGCCAAAATGCGTGACTCGCCTCACACTAGATGCTTGCTGTAATTGTGTCTCTGTATTAAACTGACCGTTCTTTGGAGCTTCAGAATGGACCAGGAGGAAAAGGTAAATACCAACCTCGCTACAACCTCAGAGGCATCAACGCCCTCCTGCTACAGACGCATCTGTTCTCGCCTGGCTCCTGCCGGCTGCCCTGGGAGAGGCCACAAAATGCCCTCCACGGAGACAAGGCCTGAGAACCTTCGGGACGCCCGCTGCCGCTCACTGTGTTGAAGAACTGCCCGTTCCGCACCCCGGGCCCTAGACACACGGCTCTGTGGAGGACGAGGAAGTGCCGTCAGGTGAGACTTCACCGTGAAATATCTTCTGAGACACAACAATCTCCCTGAATTAAAACTACAGACTCTAATTTATAAAAACTGTGTGTTTCAAAAGCTCCAAGTGTTTACATTCTCCGATTCATCATTCCTTCTTCTAATTTATTTTAGGAAATAATGCAAAGTACTCACAAAAATTTATATAGAAAGATGTTCATTGCAGAATTCATTATAATAAAAACCTTTAAATGCTCTGAGTGCCCAGCGTCAGCATGGTGATAACATACATACGAGGGAATATTGTGCAGCTGCAGTTAGTTCTTATTACATTTCACAGGCATCTTAAATGCTTTGTGAACACCGGTGCATAGATTTTTTTGTTTGGTATAGATGGCAATGATTAGATGGGTGAAATAATTTAAAAAATGGACATATAATTTTAAAAATATTGAGTGACAGAAAAAAATGAAAAAATGTTAAAGAACTTTTTGGTTATGATATTATCACTAAAAGGCCGTGTCTCCTTGCTCCCTTCTTTGGGGACGGTTCTGGCCTTGCCTGGCCCGTGGGTGGGAATTGTGGTGCTCCAAGTGCCTTCAGCTGCTGCTGGGGTCCCAGGAGCCCAGCCTAGGTGTTCTTCCGTCCTCACCACCCCATGGCCTCCATGGAGCCCCACGGCAGCCTCAGGAAGGAGGGCAGTATCGTCAGAACACAGTCCTCATGGACCCCCCAAGAGACCCTTGGGCAGAATGCCCCATCCCACCCAGGTCCAGCTTCACTCAGCACGTAAACAGGAACACGGCTGCAGGCAGGCTCCACGCACCCCGTCCCCAGGGAAGCCGCAGCCCCCGTCCCACGTATCCCGGGCAGGCATCTGTAACTGAGGGCTGCATGGTCGGGTGAGCAGCGAGGCACATGCTGGCTGGGCGGGGAGGGGCGGCCCTGAGTGGTCGTCTTGCTCAGTGCTGGAGGGGCTCTGAGCCGAAGGTCTGAGGGTCCTGGAGCTGCCATGGCAGATCCCCACAGTCTGGGCAGCTCAAAACAACAGGGACTCATTCTCTCCCCGCTCAGCAGGGAGGGGTCTGAAATCGAGTCCATGGGCCGTGCTCCCTCCAGAGGCTCCAGGGGAGGACCCTGCCACCTCCACCAGCTTCTGTGGCTCCAGGCGTCCCTGGGCCGCGGCCACAATGCTGCACCTCTGCCTCGGTCTCCAGGAGGCCTCCTCCTCTGTCTGCGTCTAACCTCCCTCTGCCTCTGTGTAAGGACACTTGCCGTGCATGTAGGGCCAACGAGTTAATCCAGAATGACCTCCTTATCTCAAGATCTTTAACTTAAACACAGCCACAAAGACCTGCCTCCTATTTGAAGAGAGGTTCTCTGCACAGTTCCAGGGTCAGGAGGTGAACACCAGGTGGCCCAGCCTCAGCCACCCCAGTGATGATGTGTGAGGTTTCAGAACGGCTGTGCTGCCCTGTTAGGAGCTATACACGCAGAAAGGCAACTCCGCCAGCGTCAGGGGTGCCGGATGCATGCAGGATCAGAAGGCGTCGGATTTCCCAGGGAAGCTGGGGAGCAAGGATCCTGCACCAAGGGAGGCAGGAGGCCGGAGACCAGCCCAGGCCCAGTCCAGGAGGAGCCTGGCCAGGAGTCCCACCAAAGCCACTGGAGCCTCCGTGACCCAGCCCTGGAGGGTCAGCACTGTCCCTCAAACGGATTCTTCACACACAGGTCTCTCTGTCTGTGGGGGCTGCAGGGCCAGTGCCTGAGGAGCCCGGACTTCACACACGGGTCTCTCTGTCTGTGGGGGCTGCAGGGCCGGTGCCCGGGGAGCCCGGACTTCACACACGGGTCTCTCTGTCTGTGGGGGCTGCAGGGCTGGTGCCTGAGGATCCCGGACTTCACACACGGGTCTCTCTGTCTGTGGGGGCTGCAGGGCCGGTGCCCAGGGAGCCCGGACTGCCGGAAACCTTTGGGGTGGGAGGCTGCAGATGGGACTTCTTGGCCTGTGTTTATGTGGAGCCCAGGCTGCGGGCACCACAGCCAGGCACAGGTCAGGGGTAAGTTGTGGGTGATGTAAGGACTAGAAGCGTAAGTAATGGCCTGACCCCCATGTCCTGGCTGTGCTGTGCGGTGGGAAAGACATGGGCTCCGGCGGCTGCTGGGGATCGCCTGGCTTGCACCTGCTGGGTCCCCCCCTGGCCACCAGCCTCACCCAAGGGCAGTTGGTGACTGCCTGCCTCACTCCTGCCAACCCTCAGGGGCCTAGGAGTCCTGCGTGGTGGGTCTAGGAACCATGCTGGAGGACAGGCCTGTGCCAGGGCCACCAGGATGTCTATGGCAGGAGCCGGTGCTGGCGAACCCCACACCTTGAGCCCCAGAGCCAGGATCCTCAGCCCAGGAAAGGGACCAGAGGCGGGAAAACCACACGGCAAAGGCTGTCCCGTGAGGTCACGGCTCCGTCACCGCTGCCCACACACGGAAGGCAGCCGCGGCTGGGTGAAGCCATCTTCACAGACATGCCGTCCTTGAGGCTCTCACACATGCACACAGACGCTCCGTCCTCTCCCACCCGCCCCCCCGCCACCCCGGGCAGGCCAGGAAGTCCCATCTGGGGCCTCCCACCCCGAGGGTTGCCGTCAGTCCGTGTGCCCAGGCATCGGGGCCTGCAGCCTCCACAGACAGCGAGACCTGTGTGCGAAGCAGACTCTGTCCTAGGGACAGTGCTGACCCTACAAGGCTGGGTCACTGGAGGCTCCCCGGGTCCAGTGGCTTTGGTGGGACTCCTGGCCAGGCTCCTCCTGGGCCGGGCTGGTCTCCGGCCTCCTGCCTCCCTTGGTGGAGCACCCTTGCTCCCCAGCACCTCCCAGGTTCACACAGCTCCTCCCTGGGGCTGCGCACTGACCCAGGGGCAGGAGGTGGGCCATCCTCTCGGTGGACTGAAGACCTTGTCCGAAGGGAAAGCAGGGCCGGCCCAAGGCCTGGCTGGAAGAGTGGGTCTTGGTGGCAAAGGCGGCCCGTGGGGGGAGCCCACGCGAATGCTTCCCCGGCGCCCTGAGCCCCTGACCGCGGCTGAGCCTGCGGTACTCTGGCCCCTCTCATGGAAAGATGACCTGGGTCTACCATGCTCAGTATCACCCAAAAATTCCTACAGAAGTCTCTCGGGACAAGAAAAGGCCTTCTTCCCTCCCTCCTCCTTTCCTCTTCCTTTCTTTCATCAGGGAACAGCTTCCGGCTGCCTGCACTGTTTGGGCGCCGTCATAAGGAGCCGTGACGGCCTTCACGGAGCTCCGGGGCTCACGGGTGTGGCTGACCTGCCACAAATGGGGCGACAGAGGAGAGGGAGGGTCGGGCACCGATGGCTCAGGAGGGAAGAGATCCCTTCTGTATGGGGAGACGGGGGCTTCCTGGAGGGCACTGGAGCGAGGGGCTCACCAGAGTGAGACATCCAAGGGATCTCGGGGACCGGCCATGGGACACTGTGGTCCCACGTGGCTCCTGGATGTGCTGTGTGTTTGCTGAGGTGGAGGGGATGGGGAAACCATGTGTGGGAGAGGGAGAGGCCATGCACGCCCTGAGTCGGGCTTTACAAAAACCTTCTGGGGGCAGCAGGAGAGGAGCCACGCAGAGGCAGAGCCAGGCAGAGGCGGTGGGGTAGTGAGGGGGATGTCGGGGTGCACGGGTTAGGAGACCCCCGAGCCCTGGGACCTGCATGCTGATAGTCAAGGTTGCAGAGGCGGCTGCTGTGGTGACCACAGGGCAGGGAGAGGCAGTGGGGTAGTGAGGGAATGTCGGGGTGCACAGCACCAGACCCTCCCAGATCTTCTGATTCAGTCCTAGGGGGACCCTACCCCAGATCTTCCAATTCAGTCCTGGTTCAGCCTGAGAATTTGCATTTTTAACATGTCCAGGGACCACAGTTTGAAAACCTCCACGGCTGACATGTAATGGGATGACATGGTCCAATAAATGAAGGAAAAATAACAGGTGGCAACCTCAAGCAGCTTCATCCCAACCAGTAAGAAAGTAAATCCTTTTGTAAACTAAGAGGAAGTATTAATATGGGTGTTTGAGCAAACATTTAAGTGTTAGAACAAAGAATTAAAAACTAGCACAGGCACCCCTGAAGCATGATAGGATGGCAACAGAAGGGCTGATTTAGTTTCCAAGAAATAACTGACAGGCAGTGTTGTGCGTGTGTCTACTACTTAGGAACCCAAAACAAACCTTCAGACCGTTTTCATGAGTACTGAGACCAAGAAAACCACTGGGCAGTGGGTGGTCTGGAAATGTAAATGTTGATGGTACTCCAGTAATGAGTCATGGAACAATGTTTCATATTGAAAATGTTTTTGTAAATGTGGGTTTCAAGGTTTCAAAGTGAACCTGTATGTGTTAGGAGAAAGGACACACCAAAGAAGTAAAATAATTGGGTCAATAGAAAAAGAAAGTAGAATACTGCCCAGAGAGAAGATGTGGATAATTCCTAACACGGATCAAAGGCACCAAAAAGGTGAGCTGTGGGTAAGATATTCAGACCTGCACCGTCCCCTGCATTAGACACAGACAACATCTTGGTAGGCAACTGGGTGAAAATTCAGAGACAACCCTAGGAACTATGAGGATGAAAAAAGTTAGCATTCATGGAATGAGGCACTGACGAAACTGAAAAGCTGGAATAACCCCATGAAATAACGAGAATAATTGTAGTATTCTGAACCGGGGCACAGGACACAGGACTGGAGTGGAAGGCCGCATGAGACCACCCCGGGAAAGACCCAGGGATCACACTGGCCCAAAGGTGGGCACTTCCCAACTCCGGGATTTGTGCTACAGGCACTCCAGGCTCCACCATAGAACTGTGTCCAGCACGAAGGCAGTGCTGTCTTGCGGGAGGCAGGGCTGCACCACCACAGGGGCGGGAAGGGGCCCGGCAGGGAGGCGCCCAGTGTTTCCAACTGCACGGGGTCGGGGACCGCGCTGATGCAGAGCGCGGGGGCGCAGGTTAAACCTAAAGGAGGGAAGCTTTTGGGGGCGGAACAGACAACGGAGAACGCTGCACACTGCCCTTCCCACCCGAATTGTGCTTTGCCTTTTTTTTTTTTTTTTTTTTTTTTTTTTTGAGACGGAGTTTTGCTCTTGTTGCCCAGGCCTGGAGTGCAATGGCCTGATCTCGGCTCACTGCAACCTCCGCCTCCCGGGTTCAAGCAATTCTCCTGCCTCAGCGTCCCGAGTAGCTGGGATTACAGGCGTGCGCCACCACGCCCGGCTAATTTTGTATTTTTAGTAGATACTGGGTTTCTCCATATTGGCCAGGTTGGTCTCGAACTCCTGACTTCAGGTGATCCACCGGCCTCGGCCTCCCAAAGTGCTGGGATTACACGCGTCAGCCACCGCACCCGGCCTGCTTGCTTTTTTTTTTTTTTTTGCAGAGTCTCGCTGTCCACCGGGCTGGAGCTGCAGTGATCTCGGCTCCCTGCGGCCTCGACCTCCCGGGCTCAGGCGATCCTCCCGCCTCAGCCCACGGAGTACATGGGACCACAGGAGGCCACCACGCCCGACTACTTGCTGTAATTTTTGTAGGGATGGGGTCTAGCCCCGCTGCCCAGGCTGGTCCGCACTGCTGGGCTCAAGAGCTCCGCCCGCCTCCGCCTCACAAAGCGCAGGGATCCCAGGTGTGAGCTACCGCGCCCCGCCCAGAGTTTCCGACTGTTAGCGTGAATCACATTCACGTCAAAACTTCTTTTTATACAAGAACTAAAAGGCAAACGAAATCCCTGCTCCATCACTGCCTGTCCCGGGTCGCGGCGCGGGACATTTCCTCCAAGCGCCTTCCCGGCCCCGCGCGCAGGTGGCCTGCGCCGGAGGATCCCGGACAACGCGCATTTCCTGCGCCCCCGGAAGCGGCGGTAACGCCTGGCCCTGCCCCCGGCAGAGGCGGAAGCACAGTCGCTCTGAGGTCGCCCGTGGCCGCAGGTGCCTCAGCCCAGCCGCGCGCCTTGGCCCTTGGCCGCCTACTCCTACCGCCCCGGCCTTGGGCGGCCCTGGGCCTGCTGCGGGCGCGGCGCTGCCCGACCAGAGCTTCCTGTGGAACGTCTTCCAGAGCTGCCACCTGGCACCGCCCCGGCACCTCCCGCCTCCCCCGCAGCTGCCCCGGACCCGTGTCCCGACCCCCGCGGCCAACCCCGTTCCCTGCCGGTTGCCCCGCGGCCTCCCCCGTCACCTGCCGGGTCCCCAGCGGCCTCCCCCGTCCCCTGCCCCGACCTCCGCCGTCTCCCCCGCCCCTGCCCGGACCCCCGCGGGCGCCCCCGAACCCTACCCCGACCGACGCGGCCGCCCCCATCCCCTGCCCCGACCCCCGCGGCCGCCCCCATCCCCTTCCGGGTCCCCCGCGGTCTCCCCCGTCCGCTGCCCGGTCTCCTGGGGCCGCCCCTGCCTCCTGCCCGGTCCCTGTCCTGTGCGTCGGGCCCTTCCCAAGGTGCAGAGGGCGCCACTGCAGACCCGAGGTCGCGGCCACCGGCTCCTGGGCCAGGCCCTGTTTCTCGCCTCGAGCCGTCGGGGGAGGGTCTCCAGGGTGCTTGTTTGGGGAAAGCGGAAACAGACTGTCTGGGCCGCTGTTAAAATGTCAGCAGCCAAGGAAGAAGCAGCGACCTGGCGTCTGCTCGGGCCAGGTGACCTTTATGGCGGCGCCTTCTGTCCCTGGTCGCTTTTCCACTGAATGAATGACCGAAACTGTAGTAACTCATGGCCAGGGAATGGCTTAGTTATCTGAGGGAATCTTGTCTTGTCTGTGAAAAAGGGAAACTGGTGCAAATGGGAATTCAGACAGGTCAGGAGGGGAAGGAAGGGAAGGATTGAGGTGGGAAAAGAGAGAGAAAGATGATTGGCCTCTTAGGGGAAGAACACACTTGGACGTGGCTCCTGGGGCACTTCCTTGATTCCGCTGTACTCGTCAGCGGGACCGGAGAGGCGGAGGTTCCAGGAGGGAGCCTTCCAGAGTCGGTGCAGGGTTGACAGGAGACGTTTGTTTTGCTTTTCCTGAACTTTCGATCGCCAGCTTGTTTGGTCTTCTTGATGTTATAGGGTTGATAGAGAGGAGTGGAGTGATATCGGACACCCAGCTTCGGCAAGCTCTCTCCAAGGGTGAGTGGGCCAGTGGGACCTGGGTCTCCGGACCAAGAAGCCGCGAGCCTGCCCTGCTCACAGTGGATAACTTTCTTTCTGAAGTTGATTTTCCAAGGACAAAGGAATCATTAGGGCAAATTATTATTACTGCTTCATGGTGGAGATGCTTCTGGTTTATTCTGTGGCTACCGCTGTTACTGCTTGGAGTGCCTCACCGAGCCAGCTAACAACGGCGTGCGTGAGCACAGGGAAAGGCTTCTTGAGAAATGAAAACTAGGTTGTAGGTTTAGGAGGGGAATAGGAAGGTTAGCTCTGTCCAGCCGAAAGCCTTTTGGTAAGTTGGGGGTCCTTGAATTTCCTGGGTGACTGCATCTTGGTGACTTCTCTGAATAGACCTTCGAGGGCACTGGGGGGTGATTGTTGGAGGGCTTGGGGAGCTCAGGCAGCACTTGTGTGGGAACGTGGCTGTTACAGGAACTGCAGAAACTGGGACTGGGTTCCTGGGGAAAGGATTGGGGGTGTTGGAGGCGCTGGCAGGGGAGTTATGGGGAGGCGTTCTTATCAGTGTGCGAATATTGGGCGTTCAGGCAGCGGGAAATCCGGGTCCTTGCGTGTTGTGAGCTCCCTGGAGTTACGTTCTTGCCAGTTTCAGCTCAATTGATCCCCCTCCCCTGAGCTATCATTGGATACATTTTACTTCATTGAACACCTGACTGCTGCTTTTTCTGTAATCCCTCAGGGGCAGTCATCTTTTCTGATTCTGTGTGTAGTTTGCCTTTCCAGATCCGTGCCATTTAAGCTAGAAAAGGGGTCAGTTTTGAGATGTTGTGAAAATGTTGAAAGGCTCCTCGTTATTAGTGGGAAGTATCTGATGTTGCCAGAGACTGAACTGGGGCGCGGGGAGCACTACGGCTGCTAGACACTGCCTCACTGCGCTGTGGGTGGGGGAGGTGCTGGATTCAGTCTTACTGCCTAATGATTTGTGAGGATTTGTGTTTTCAGAGTAACATGTTTACCTTATGTTATCAGTTCCTAATATGTGACGTATGGGCCACAGATGCTGGTGTATTATTTCACATGCATTTATATAGATTGTTTTCAGGGAATTCAGAAATTCTGTTATCTCTACACTAGTGATTGTGCTTTCTTGATTTTTCTCTTTTCATTATTCTTAAATCCTCCCTTTTTTAATTTGCATCTCAGTTCGTTTATACTCGGGAAGTGCAAGACATGGCTACTAGAAAGAGATGTCAAGAGAACCGGAATCCAGTAGGCTACAATTTGGCAAATCTTAGCTTAAAACTTCCTAAATGTTGACCACAGTGGATGCAAATGGCTCTGTGCATCGTCTGTTCAATATGGTCAGGTGACCACCCAGGTTCACGTGGTTTGTCACCAGGGTGACACGAGCCACACGGAGTGCCCTCCTCAGAGGCCATGTCTCAGAGACGTTTATTTTGAGTGGTTTTCCAGCGAGTGATGCAAGATTTATGATCCATTTTAACAGCTGCTTTTTATGCATTTGCTCAAATTTTTAGATTTTAAGTTTAGTTTTAGGTTTTCTGTTAAACTTGCTCAACTAGGAGTGGTGGTCAAATACTGGACCTCATTAGCATGGTAGCCTGCCCTCCTTGGCAGGCTCCACTGGAGTGCCTTGGGGCCTGCCTGGATTCCAGTCCTGGCTCTACCAGTTTTGTGTCCTCGCCGTTACTGGGAGGGAGTATTGAGGAAATGCATGCGAGGTGCTTCCGTGATTCCTGGCACAGAGCAAGTGCTCAGTAATTGTCAGCTGTGAGTATTAGTAGTAGCTAATACACTACTACTATTCTTGGCTAACAAGCCAGCTCAAAGCTTTGATAGTTTTCCATTACCTGATGATGGTGATGATGGTTTCCACTTCCTGAACACTCACACCCCTGGGCTAGGCACTTAACCCAAATCCAAGGTCAGCGTTATTGTTTGGGGGTGGGGGAGACACCTCCTGCTCTGACTCGTGTGTTTGGGTTCCCGTATTTTCACCAGAGGGTGTTAGTTCTGCCCAAGTTCAGCTGGTCCTCAAAGTGTATATAGCTCTTTAACCATCAGCAAGTGTCAGTCAGAACATAATCTTGATTTCAGCTGCTACTAAATATCTACCAGGAGCCTGCTTGAGAGAGAGAATTGCCTGACAGGTGCTGAGTCCACCATTCCTGAGACACTTTGAAATCAGTGTCTGACTTAACCCAAGCTGTGTATGGGGACCCTCTCACCGTGGTCCCAATGGAGTCGCTTTTGTTAGGCGCCCCCCTTTACCTTGGGCTCTGAGCTTCCTCTGCCTTTCATCTCTGCAGGATGAAGCCCCACCCGCTGTACAGGATGCAAAGCCCTCCTCTATAAAGTGCGTGCGGGGCCAGATGCAGTGGCTCACGTCTGACCTCCCAACACTTTGGGAGGCCGAGGCAGGGGCATCGTTTGAGACCAGCCTGGACAACATTGTGAGACCCTGTTCCTTGAATTGCCCTGGGAGATTTCCTCAGCTTGTACTGGAGGTGTGTGGCCCCATGAAGCCCATAGTCACCGTTCACCCTGAGAGACGCTGGCTTTGGGGCTCACATGCCTGCTGCGGGGCAGCCCCAGGAGATGGCCACCCTGTTTCTCCTGGAGCTGGAGCTGCGCGTGTTCTCAGCAACTGTGGTGGCTGTCCTGTTTTGTTTGCATCTTATAAACCTTTACCTGATTACATTTTCCTCTTCAATTTAGCTGCTAGAAAACTTAAAGTCAGATTGGTGGCTCACCAGTAATGAGAGTTTAGAGTAGAGGTAAACTTTATGACATAGTCTTAGACTCTTCACTTTCTCCTCAGCCAACATGATTCACATTTACTTTATTTTGCTGTACTGTGAGTGTCTTTGTGTTTCCTGAATTCCTTCTGGAATAAGGCAGGTTGTTAGTAAGCACAGGTTTCTGGTCCATCTCATAGCCTCAGGCAGTGGGCGGTGCTGTCCGTGCTCCCTTTCTGGGTTACCTGTGGTAGCTCTGAAGTTGCAGGGCTGCGATTTGAAGCCTGATTTAGTACACCGTGTTTCTGTTGTGTTCTGTGGTGGTTTGCTCCTCACATGTGAGCATTCACCCTGTGGCCCTGTGTTTTTCCACCACACCTCTGCCTGGTGGCATCCTACTGGATGTCTCAGCCGAGCCACTCTGTTCTGAAGACGCCCTTGTCCTCCACCCCTTTGCTTTGGGCTCTGAGCTTCTTCTGCCTTTCATCTCTGTAGGATGAAGCCCCACCCGCCCTTCAGGATGCCAGCCTTGGCAACATTGTGAGACCCTGTTTCTACAAAAAGTAAACGTGTAGTGGTGCACGCCTGTAGTTCTAGCTACTTGGGAGGCTGAGATGGGAAGATCACTTCAGCCTGGGAGGTTGAGGCTGCATTGAGCTGAGATCAAGCCACGGCACTCCAGCCTGGGAGACAGAGCGAAACCCCATCTCAAAAAAACAAAGAAAGTGGATGCACGCTGCTCCTGCCATTGGATCATCGCAGCATTTTTCTTTTCTCTGATATGCGCCTTTTTCCTCATCGTGGGGGCTCATGTTTTTGTACTTTCCTCTCGCTACTAGATTGTGAGCTGCGTGAAGGAAGGTTCATAGTTGTGTTGTATGTACAGGCACACAAAATTTGTCCTTGGATAGACACATATCAATCCGCTTCCTTCTCCTCTCTGAAGTTCTTTATTTAAAAAAAAAAATTAGAGATGGAGTCTCACTGTCTTGCCCAGGCTGGTCTCAAACTCCTAGGCTCAAGCGATCCTCCCGCCTCTACTAATATGAATTATTAGCCTATACTAATATGAATTCCTATACTAATATGATTGAAATTAGTTTGACTTGTATAATAATTGTTCTCCCAGATTGGCCTTCTGTTTTGATAGTAGAACTAAATTATTAGGCTATTTCAAGAAATTAATATATTACTGGTAGAAAAACTGAAGCTACAAAATGGCCTGGTTTCTCACTTCAGTTAAATTTGTGCTTCTGAGTGCTTGTATTGTAGGTGAAACCGCACTGAGAAGGTATTTGTGGCCCGTATGCTGATTGATTGATGAGACTTCTTTGCACAGGAGAGCTGCTAAAAATTACTGCGGTGAACAGGTATGAAGAAGACTGTTCTCTGCCCTTCTTTTTGCAATAAAATGTTACAAACTATCTTGAGATTGATCCCTTTTCGGGTGTTTGGGTTTTTTTTAACATTCACATATTTCTTGGAATTATAAGAAATTAACTTTGTGCTTCTGAAGTGGGTTTCCCTTAATATAACACTGATGTATTTGTAAGGGGCATTTTTAAAGTTGTACTTTAAAAAATAATAATTCTTACATTCGTTTGAAGGTTTTTTGTTTGTTTGTTTGTTTGTTTTTGAGATGAAGGCTTGCCCTGTCACCCAGGCTGGAGTGCAGTGGCATTGATCTTGGCTCACTGCAACCTCTGCATCTGGAGTTCAAGCAATTCTCCTGCCTCAGCCTCCTGAGTAGCTGGGACTACAGGCACCTGCCACCACGCCCAGCTAATTTTTTGTATTTTTAGTAGAGACGGGGTTTCACCGTGTTAGCCAGGATGGTCTCAATCTCCTGACCTCGTGATCCACCCACCTCAGCCTCCAAAAGTGCTGGGATTACAGGCGTGAGCCAGGGGGCCAACATGGTGAAACTCTATCTCTACTAAAAATACAAAATTAGCCGGGAATGGTGGTGTGTGCCTGTAATCCCAGCTACTCGGGAGGCTGAGGCATGAGAATCACTTGAACCTGGGAGGCAGAGGTTGCAGTGAGCTGAGATTGCGCCACTGCACTGCAGCCTGGGGGACAGTGAGACTCCATCTCAAAAAAAAAGAATAGAATAACTCTTGTTTAGGTGTTACAGAATCCAGGCCAGACAAATCTAAACTTTAATCTCATACCCAGTTCCTAGATGAGTCCCTTCTCCAGCTCAGGCTCGGCCTAAGCCTCAGGGTTCCTTACTTGGTGGGCACCACCTGCTCCCTTCCCCGCCTTTGTTCCTCTTTTTCCTCTGCTGGCTCCTCCGGGGTTGGGTGTGTTCAGAGGCAGAGACAGGCTCAAGGTCTTTGGCTTTTAGGTTCTGTTGATGGGTGAGTTCCAGATATAGCTTTCTTTTGTAGGATATTTCATTTATTTATCTATTAAAAATATTTATTTAGAACACACCATTCATGTGCCAGACCCTGTTCCAGGCACTGGGGAGAGGGTGATAAATGAGATCAACAAAAATACCTGCCCACATTAAGCTCCTGTTCTAGGGAAGACAAAAAAGAAAGAAAATACACGTGTCCTTAGTACATTAGAAGGTTCCAAGTACTGTAGAGAAAAATAAAGTAGGTTGGACTCGGTGGCTCATGCCTGTAATCCCAGCACTTTGGGAGGCTGAGGTGGGAGGATTACTTGAGCTCAGGAATTTGAGACCAGCCTGGGCAACATGGCAAATCCTGTCTCTACAAAAAAAAAAAAAAAAAATTAGCTGGGTATGGTGGCGTGCACCTGTAGTCCCAGCCACTGGGGAGGCTGAGGAGGGAGAATTGCTTCAGCCCAGGAGGTGAAGGTTGCAGTAAGCTGAGATCGTGCCATTGCACTCCAGCCTGAGTGACACAGCCAGACCCTGTCTCAAAAACAAGGAAAGAAAGAAAATGAAAAAAAGAAAGCAGAGATGGGGCAAGCAGGGGAGAGGGCTGGTGATGGGGTCACAGCGGAGGGGCTGGGGATGCACGGGAGGGGCTGGGGATGTGAGCTTTCCTGAGTTCCCACAGTTCTCTGCCCCTCTCCTGTCTCATGGCACAAGGGCCCCCTGGGGCTTGCGGTGGTTTTGCGCCAAGCTAATATCTTGTTCTTCCCAACAGACGGAGGCCCATTGAGGCTTCTGTGTCCTCCACGGGGACCAGCATTGGGCTAAACCTGCAGACACCATTGCAAAGGGAATTCAGGCAAACCTGCTGGTGAAGAATGATTCCAGCGTGGGGACAGAGGCTGACATTTCTTGCCTGGGTGATTTAATGTTGGGCCTCAATTTTTCACTCCCCCCGTAAGAGTATGACATAGCCACAACCTTTCCAGGGCCCGAGGGAGGGTGGATGGACTTATCCATCCCATAGGTGTTGCTCGTGGCTGGGTGACTTGCTTCTGCCAACGAGATTTTCACAGACACGGCACAAGCAGAAGCCTGGAATGTGTGGGCACTGCCAGGCCTGCCCTCTAAGGTTCTTGATTTTCCCCATGAGATGCACGTGCCCCAGGGAACGGCCGCTCTGGCTGTGGGATGAGAGGCATGTGGAGCAGGCATGGTTCCCATGCTTAGCCTGGAGTCAAGGCCAGACTAGATCAGCCTAAGCCCAGCCACGCCATGGGTGCAGGAGTGAAGAGCAAATGCTAACTGTCCATGGAATTGACTTTCAAAGGGGCGTGTCATGTGCCTCATCCCAGCAACAGGGAAGGCATTTCTCTATCAGTCAGTTGGTAAATGATTATTGACAAACAATGTGCTGGGAAGGTGGAGTGATTTGAGTAGATTTGGCCTCTATTCTCATGGAGCTTCCTTTCTAGAGGGGAAGGCAGATGATGGATGGATAAATATAAATGATTCTAATAGGTTGGTGCAGCAGTCATTAAAAGTGATGGCAAAAAAAAAAAAAAAAGAAACGGGGAGGAGCCGTTGCTGCAGTTCATTAATAGTAATGGCAAAACCCGCGATGACTTGTGCGCCAACCTAACCCAGTAACCACGGGTGTGCAAATGTGGCGATGGGCAAGTTCCGAGTGCTAGGAGAGCATCTAGCTTCCCGGAGTCAGGAGACGGGGGTTGGCAACCTAACCAAGGTTAAGTCCAAGTGAGGGGGGTGGGCAGGGAGCGATATTTCAGTGGAGACTCCAAGGATGAATGGTATTTAGAGAGTAAACCCCGATAGAGGGTTTGTGTCTGGCACAGAGAAGAGCCTGTGCAAAAGCTGGTGGGGCGAGAGGACACCGTGTGTTCATCCACCTGACGGGCGACCAGCAGGCTGGAGCTCAGCGGGTTGAGAGGAGGATGCAGAACCCGGGAAAGGCACCCTAGGCAGAGGGCACAGAAGCGCAAAGGCCTGGAGTCAGGCCTGAGCCTGTGTGGTTTGAGGAACGGACAGAGGCCTGTCCGTCAGGAAGGGAACGGCACAGGGGAGAGACCTTAGGCCACAGCAGAGGGCAGGGCAGAGGGCAGGGCCGTGCTGGGCAGTGTGGGCTGTGGATGGTGCTGGCATTTAAGAGGGGAGACCATAGACCAGGGCAAAGGGCAGGGCCGTGCTGGGCACTTTGGGCTGTGGATGGGAGCTGGCATTTATGCTCAGGTGATGGGAATGTGTTAAAAGATTTTAAGGAGGGGAGTAACAGTTGGGATTAATGTGTATTCTGGGAATCTCAACAAAGTAAATTCATAGTTTGAATTTTCATAAGACTTCTGCACAGGCAGAGAGAAATAAGATCGTGTCTACAGCTGTGTGATGATTTTATTGAAAAACATTACTAAGTTTTTAAACGTGATTTCAAATGGTGTGTTTCTGTTTCACCTTGGACATAAGTAGATTGCAAGGCTAATGGAAAGTAGAAAAGTTAACTCATGAACATAAAAGAGATATCAATTTGAAAACAAAACATTTATTCATTTACTTCCGCTGCAGATTTCTTGACTGCTGAATTTCATGAGAAGGGATTGTTCAGGGAGGGACGTGGGGCTGAAGACCTGGAGAGGAGGTGGTGCTACCGCTGTTCAAATCTGAGGGTGGTGGAGATGGAGCCTTGGGGAGGAGCAGGTGCTGCCTTTTAAGTCTATGAGAGTCGTTGAGCTGGAGGTCCAGGGAGGAGCCGGTGCTCCCACTGATGTCTTAGGTTGTGGAGCTGAAGACAACGAAGGAGCCAGTGTGGCTGTTCTGTGAGACTCGTGGAGCTGGAGATCCAGGTGGGAGAGGTGTTTTAGCTCGGGGAAGAGCTGATGTTCTACCTTGAGGGTCCTGCAGCTGCAGACCTGGGGAGGAGCTAATGTTCTAGTTTGAGTGTCATGCAGCTGCAGACCCGGGGAGGAGCTGATGTTCTAGTTTGAGTGTCATGCAGCTGCAGACCTGGAGAGGAGCTGATGTTCTAGATTGAGGGTCGTGCAGCTGCAGACCCGGGGAGGAGCTGATGTTCTAGATTGAGGGTCGTGCAGCTGCAGACCTGGAGAGGAGCTGATGTTCTAGATTGAGGGTCGTGCAGCTGCAGACCCGGGGAGGAGCTGATGTTCTAGATTGAGGGTCGTGCAGCTGCAGACCTGGAGAGGAGCTGATGTTCTAGTTTGAGGGTCATGCAGCTGAAGACCCGGGGAGGAGCTGATGTTCTAGTTTGAGGGTCATGCAGCTGCAGACCCGGAGAGGAGCTGATGTTCTAGATTGAGGGTCGTGCAGCTGCAGACCTGGAGAGGAGCTGATGTTCTAGATTGAGGGTCGTGCACCTGCAGACCCGGAGAGGAGCTGATGTTCTAGATTGAGTGTCGTGCACCTGCAAACCCGGGGAGGAGCTGATGTTCTCATTTGAGGGTCGTGCAGATGCAGACCCGGAGAGGAGCTGATGTTCTAGATTGAGGGTCGTGCAGCTGCAGACCTGGAGAGGAGCTGATGTTCTAGTTTGAGGGTCATGCAGCTGAAGACCCGGGGAGGAGCTGATGTTCTAGTTTGAGGGTCATGCAGCTGCAGACCCGGAGAGGAGCTGATGTTCTAGATTGAGGGTCGTGCAGCTGCAGACCTGGAGAGGAGCTGATGTTCTAGATTGAGGGTCATGCAGCTGAAGACCCGGGGAGGAGCTGATGTTCTAGTTTGAGGGTCATGCAGCTGCAGACCCGGAGAGGAGCTGATGTTCTAGATTGAGGGTCGTGCAGCTGCAGACCTGGAGAGGAGCTGATGTTCTAGATTGAGGGTCATGCAGCTGAAGACCCGGGGAGGAGCTGATGTTCTAGTTTGAGGGTCATGCAGCTGCAGACCCGGAGAGGAGCTGATGTTCTAGATTGAGGGTCGTGCAGCTGCAGACCTGGAGAGGAGCTGATGTTCTAGTTTGAGGGTCATGCAGCTGAAGACCCGGGGAGGAGCTGATGTTCTAGATTGAGGGTCGTGCAGCTGCAGACCTGGAGAGGAGCTGATGTTCTAGTTTGAGGGTCGTGCAGCTGAAGACCCGGGGAGGAGCTGATGTTCTAGATTGAGGGTCGTGCAGCTGCAGACCTGGAGAGGAGCTGATGTTCTAGTTTGAGGGTCATGCAGCTGAAGACCCGGGGAGGAGCTGATGTTCTAGATTGAGGGTCGTGCAGCTGCAGACCCGGAGAGGAGCTGATGTTCTAGATTGAGGGTCGTGCAGCTGCAGACCCGGAGAGGAGCTGATGTTCTAGATTGAGGGTCTTGCAGCTGCAGACCTGGAGAGGAGCTGATGTTCTAGATTGAGGGTCGTGCAGCTGCAGACCCGGGGAGGAGCTGATGTTCTAGTTTGAGGGTCTTGCAGCTGAAGACTTGGGGAGGAGCTGATGTTGTTGCATTGAGGGTCTTTCAGTTGGAGACTCAGGGAGGAGCTGATGTTCTAGAATTAGGGTGATAGAACTGGAGACCTGGAGAGAAGGTAATGTTCTAGTTTTAGGTTCTTGCAGCTGCAGACCTGGAGAGGAGCTGATGTTCTAGATTGAGGGTTGTGCACCTGCAGACCCGGGGAGGAGCTGATGTTCTAGTTTGAGGGTCTCCCAGCTGCAGACCTGGAGAGGAGCTGATGTTCTAGTTTGAGTGTCGTGCAGCTGCAGACCTGGAGAGGAGCTGATGTTCTAGTTTGAGGGTCATGCAGCTGAAGACCCGGGGAGGAGCTGATGTTCTAGATTGAGGGTCGTGCAGCTGCAGACCTGGAGAGGAGCTGATGTTCTAGTTTGAGGGTCATGCAGCTGAAGACCCGGGGAGGAGCTGATGTTCTAGATTGAGGGTCGTGCAGCTGCAGACCTGGAGAGGAGCTGATGTTCTAGTTTGAGGGTCGTGCAGCTGAAGACCCGGGGAGGAGCTGATGTTCTAGTTTGAGTGTCATGCAGCTGCAGACCCGGAGAGGAGCTGATGTTCTAGATTGAGGGTCGTGCAGCTGCAGACCTGGAGAGGAGCTGATGTTCTAGTTTGAGGGTCATGCAGCTGAAGACCCGGGGAGGAGCTGATGTTCTAGATTGAGGGTCGTGCAGCTGCAGACCTGGAGAGGAGCTGATGTTCTAGTTTGAGGGTCATGCAGCTGAAGACCCGGGGAGGCGCTGATGTTCTAGATTGAGGGTCGTGCAGCTGCAGACCTGGAGAGGAGCGATGTTCTAGATTGAGGGTCATGCAGCTGCAGACCCGGAGAGGAGCTGATGTTCTAGATTGAGGGTCTTGCAGCTGCAGACCTGGAGAGGAGCTGATGTTCTAGATTAAGGGTCTTGCAGCTGCAGACCCGGGGAGGAGCTGATGTTCTAGTTTGAGGGTCTTGCAGCTGAAGACTTGGGGAGGAGCTGATGTTGTTGCGTTGAGGGTCTTTCAGTTGGAGACTCAGGGAGGAGCTGATGTTCTAGAATTAGGGTGATAGAACTGGAGACATGGAGAGAAGGTAATGTTCTAGTTTTAGGTTCTTGCAGCTGCAGACCTGGAGAGGAGCTGATGTTCTAGATTGAGGGTCTTGCACCTGCAGACCCGGGGAGGAGCTGATGTTCTAGATTGAGTGTCATGCAGCTGCAGACCCGGAGAGGAGCTGATGTTCTAGTTTGAGGGTCGTGCAGCTGCAGACCTGGAGAGGAGCTGATATTCTAGTTTGAGGGTCATGCAGCTGAAGACCCGGGGAGGAGCTGATGTTCTAGTTTGAGTGTCATGCAGCTGCAGACCCGGAGAGGAGCTGATGTTCTAGATTGAGGGTCGTGCAGCTGCAGACCTGGAGAGGAGCTGATGTTCTAGTTTGAGGGTCATGCAGCTGAAGACCCGGGGAGGAGCTGATGTTCTAGATTGAGGGTCGTGCAGCTGCAGACCTGGAGAGGAGCTGATGTTCTAGTTTGAGGGTCATGCAGCTGAAGACCCGGGGAGGAGCTGATGTTCTAGATTGAGGGTCATGCAGCTGCAGACCCGGAGAGGAGCTGATGTTCTAGATTGAGGGTCATGCAGCTGCAGACCCGGAGAGGAGCTGATGTTCTAGATTGAGGGTCATGCAGCTGCAGACCCGGAGAGGAGCTGATGTTCTAGATTGAGGGTCGTGCAGCTGCAGACCCGGAGAGGAGCTGATGTTCTAGTTTGAGGGTCATGCAGCTGAAGACCCGGGGAGGAGCTGATGTTCTAGATTGAGGGTCGTGCAGCTGCAGACCTGGAGAGGAGCTGATATTCTAGATTGAGGGTCATGCAGCTGCAGACCCGGAGAGGAGCTGATGTTCTAGATTGAGGGTCTTGCAGCTGCAGACCTGGAGAGGAGCTGATGTTCTAGATTGAGGGTCTTGCAGCTGCAGACCCGGGGAGGAGCTGATGTTCTAGTTTGAGGGTCTTGCAGCTGAAGACTTGGGGAGGAGCTGATGTTGTTGCATTGAGGGTCTTTCAGTTGGAGACTCAGGGAGGAGCTGATGTTCTAGAATTAGGGTGATAGAACTGGAGACCTGGAGAGAAGGTAATGTTCTAGTTTTAGGTTCTTGCAGCTGCAGACCTGGAGAGGAGCTGATGTTCTAGATTGAGGGTCTTGCACCTGCAGACCCGGGGAGGAGCTGATGTTCTAGTTTGAGGGTCTCCCAGCTGCAGACCTGGAGAGGAGCTGATGTTCTAGTTTGAGTGTCGTGCAGCTGCAGACCCGGGGAGGAGCTGATGTTCTAGTTTGAGGGTCGTGCAGCTGGAGACCTGGAGAGGAGCTAATGTTCTAGTTTGAGGTTCTTGCAGCTGCAGACCTGGAGAGGAGCTGATGTTCTAGATTGAGGGTCGTGCAGCTTCACACTTGGAGAGGAGCTGATGTTCTAGTTTGAGGGTCGTGCAGCTGCAGACCTGTAGAGGAGCTGATGTTCTAGATTGAGGGTCGTGCAGCTGAAGACTTGGGGAGGAGCTTTAGTTGTTCGCGTTGAGGGTCTTTCAGTTGGAGACTCGGAGGAGCTGATGTTCTAGATTTAGGGTCACGGAACTGGAGACCTGGACAGAAGTTGATGTTCTAGTTTGAGTGTCTAGCAGCTGCAGATCCGGAGAGGAGCTGATGTTCTAGTTTGAGGGTCTTGCAACTGCAGACCTGTAGAGGAGCTGATGTTCTAGATTGAGGGTCGTGCAGCTGCAGACCTGGGGAGGAGCTGATGTTCTAGACTGAGGGTCGTGCAGCTGCAGACCTGGAGAGGAGCTGATGTTCTAGATTGAGAGTCCTGCAGCTGAAGACTCGGGGTGGAGCTGATGTTGTAGTTTGAGGGTCATGCAGTTGAGGACTTCGGGAGGAGCTGATGTTGTTCGTGTTGAGGGTCTTTCAGCTGGAGACTCAGGGAGGAGCTGACAATCTTGACTGAGGTTCATGGAGCTGGAGACTCAGGCAGGAGCTGATGTTCTAGCTAGTGGATCTTCCAGCTGCAGACCAAGAGAGGAGCTGATGTTCTAATTTTAGGTTCTTGCAGCTGCAGACCTGGAGAGGAGCTGATGTTCTAGATAGAGGGTCATGCAGCTGAAGACTCGGGGAGGAGCTGATGTTGTAGTTCGAGGGTCATGCAGTTGAGGACTTTGGGAGGAGCTGATGTTGTTCGTGTTGAGGGTCTTTCAGCTGGGGACTCAGGGAGGAGCTGATAATCTTGATTAAGGGTCATGGAGCTGGAGACCCAGACAGGAGCTGATGTTCTAGTTAGTGGATCTTCCAGCTGCAGAGTCAGAGAGGAGCTGATGTTCTAGATTGAGGGTCATGCAGCTGAAGACCCGGGGAGGAGCTGATGTTCTAGATTGAGGGTCGTGGAGCTGCAGACCTGGAGAGGAGCTGATGTTCTAGTTTGAGGGTCGTGCAGCTGGAGACCTGGAGAGGAGCTAATGTTCTAGTTTGAGGTTCTTGCAGCTGCAGACCTGGAGAGGAGCTGATGTTCTAGATTGAGGGTCGTGCAGCTGCACACTTGGAGAGGAGCTGATGTTCTAGATTGATGGTCTTGCAGCTGCAGACCTGGAGAGGAGCTGATGTTCTAGTTTGAGGATCTTGCAGCTGCAGACCCGGAGAGGAGCTGATGTTCTACTTTGAGGGTCGTGCAGCTGGAGACCTGGAGAGGAGCTGATGTTCTAGTTTGAGGGTCATGCAGATGAAGACTCGGGGAGGAACTGATGTTCTAGTTTGAGGGTCTTGCAGCTGCAGACCTGGAGAGGAGCTGATGTTGTAGTTTGATGGTCTTGCAGCTGCAAACCTGGAGAGGAGCTGATGTTCTAGATTGAGGGTCGTGCAGCTGAAGACTCGGGGAGGAGCTGATGTTCTAGATTAAGGGTCATGCAGCTGAAGACTCAGGGAGGAGCTGAGGTTCTAGTTTGAGGGTCGTGCAGCTGAAGACTCGGGAGGAGCTGAGATTCTAGTTTGAGGGTCGTGCAGCAGAAGACTCAGGGAGGAGCTGATGTTCTAGATTGAGGGCCCTACAGCTGCAGACCTGAAGAGGAGCTGATGTTCGAGATTGAGGGTCGTGCAGCTGAATACTTGGAGAGGAGCTGATGTTATAGTTTGAGGGCCCTACAGCTGAAGACCCGGAGAGTATCTGATCTTCGAGATTGAGGGTCGTGCAGCTGAAGACTCCGGGAGGAGCTGAGGTGGTAATTTGAGGGTCTTGCAGCTGCTGACTTGGGGAGGAGCTGATGTTCTAGTTTGAGGGCCCTACAGTTGGAAATCTGTACAGGAGCTGATGTTCTAGTTTGAGGGTCATGCAGGCGAAGAATCGGGGAGGAGCTGATATTCTAGTTTGAGGGCCCTGCAGCTAGAGATGCAGACAGGAGCTGATGTTGTAGTTTGAGGGTCGTACAGCTGAAGATTCAGGGAGGAGCTGTTCGTGTATTTTTAGGGTCATGCAGCTGCAGACCCGGAGAGGAGCTGATGTTAAAGATTGAGGGTCATGCAGCTGAAGACTCTGGGAGGAGCTGACGTTCTAATTTGAGGTCACTACAGGTGGACACCGAGAGAGGAGCTTATGTTCTAGATTGAGGGTCATGCAGCAGAAGACTCGGGGAAGAGCTGAGGTTGTAGTTTGAGGGTCATGCAGCTGGAGAACCAGACAGGAGCTGATGTTCTAGATTGAGCGTCGTGCAGCTGAAGACTTGGGGAGGAGCTGATGTTGTTCGTTTTGAGGGTGTTTCAGCTGGAGACTCAGGGAGGAGCTGACGTTCTAGATTGAGGGTCTTGCAGCTGCAGACCTGTAGAGGAACTGATGTTCTAGATTGAGGGTCACGCAGCTGAAGACTTGGGGAGAAGCTGATGTTCTAACTTGAGGGTCGTGCAGCTGAGGACTCGGGGAGGAGCTGATGTTGACAGCTGTGCAGCTGGAGATCCGGCGGGGAGCTGATGTTCCGGTTTGAGGGCCGGGGAGCTGATGTTCCAGTTTGATGGCCGTGCAGCTGGAGACCCAGGGAGGAACATCAAACTGGAACATCTGCTCCCCGCAGTGCCTCCAGCTGCATGGCTCCCAAACTGGAACATCGGTTCCCACCCGGGTCTCCAGCTGCACGGCCCTCAAACTGCAACATCGGCTACCCCCGAGTCTCCAGCTGCACGGGCCTCAAACTGGAACATCAGCTCCCCACCGGGTCTCCAGCTTCACGGCCCTCAAACTGGAACTTCAGCTCCCCACCGGGTATCCAGCTGCATGGCCCTCAAACTGGAAGTTCAGCTCCCCATCGGGTCTCCAGCTGCACGGCCCTCAGACTGGAACATCAGCTCCCCACCGGGTCTCCAGCTGCATGGCCCTCAAACTGGAACATCAGCTCCCCACCGGGTCTCCAGCTTCACGGCCCTCAAACTGGAACTTCAGCTCCCCACCGGGTCTCCAGCTTCACGGCCCTCAAACTGGAACTTCAGCTCCCCACCGGGTATCCAGCTGCATGGCCCTCAAACTGGAAGTTCAGCTCCCCACCGGGTCTCCAGCTGCACGGCCCTCAGACTGGAACATCAGCTCCCCGCCGGGTCTCCAGCTGCACGACCCTCAAACTGGAATAGTTTGAACTCAGCGGGGAGCTGATGTTCCAGTTTGAGGGCCGTGCAGCTGGAGACCCGGCAGGGAGCTGATGTTCCGGTTGTAGGGCTGTGCAGCCGGAGACCCAGGGGGAAGCTGATGTTCCAGTTGTAGGGCCGTGCTACTGGAGACCCAGGGGTGGAGCTGATGTTCCAGTTTGAGGGCCATGCAGTTGATGACCCGGCGGGGAGCTGATGTTCAAGTTTGAGGTCTGTGCAGCTGGAGACCCGCGGGGGAGCTGATGTTCCAGTTTGATGGCCATGCAGCTGGAGGCTCTGATGGGAGCTGATGTTGCAATTTGAGGGCCATGCAGCTGGAGACCTGGCAGGGAGCTGATGTTCCAGTTTGAGGGCCGTGCAGCTGGAGACCCGGCAGGGAACTGATGTTCCAGTTTGAGGGCCATGCATCTGGAGACCTGGGCGGGGAGCTGATGTTCCAGTTTAAGGCCATGCAGCTGTATGCCCGGGGGGAACTGATGTTGCAGTTTGAGGGCCATGCATCTGGAGACCCGGTGGGGAGCCAGTGTTGCAGGTTGAGGGCCGTGCAGCTGGAGACCCTGTGGGGAGCTGATGTTCCTGTTTGAGAGCCGTGCAGCTGGAGATCCTGTGGGGAGCTGATGTTCCTGTTTGAGAGCCGTGCAGCTGGAGATCTGGTGGGGAGCTGATGTTCCTGTTTGAGAGCCGTGCAGCTGGAGATCCTGTGGGGAGCTGATGTTCCTGTTTGAGAGCCGTGCAGCTGGAGATCTGGTGGGGAGCTGATGTTCCAGTATGAGGGCCGTGCAGCTGGAGACCTGGTGGGGAGCTGATGTTCCAGTTTGAGGGCCGTGCAGCTGGATACCCGGCAGGGAGCTGATGTTCCAGTTTGAGGGCCGTGCACCTGGAGACCCGGCAGGGAGCTGATGTTCCAGTTTGAGGGCTGTGCAGCTGGATACCGGGGGTGGAGCTGATGTTCCAGTTTGAGGGCCATGCATCTGGAGACCCAGTGGGTAGCCAGTGTTGCAGGTTGAGGGCTGTGGAGCTGGAGACCCGGGTTGGGGGGAGCTGATGTTCCAGGTTGAGGGCCATGCTGCTGGAGATCCAGCGGGGAGCTGATGTTGCAGTTTGAGGCGGTGCAGCTGGACATGCAGGGGGGAAGTGATGTTGCAATTTGAGGGCTGTGCAGCTGGAGACCCTGTGGGGAGCTGATGTTCCTGTTTGAGGGTTTCGGAGCTGATGTTCCAGTTTAAGGCCATGCAGCTGGAGACCCGGTGGGGAGCCGATGTTCCAGTTTGAGGGCCATGCATCTGGAGACCCGGTGGGGAGCTGATGTTGCAGGTTGAGGGCCGTTCATCTGGAGACCCAGTGGGGAGCTGATGTTGCAGGTTGAGGGCTGTGCACCTGGAGCCCCGGGGTGGAGCTGATATTCCAGTTTGAGGGCCGTGCAGCTGGCAATCTGGTGGGGAGCTGATGTTCCAGTTTGAGGGCCATGCAGCTGGAGACCCGGCAGGGAGCTCATGTTCCAGTTTGCAGGCAGTGCAGCTGGAGACCCGGCGGGGAGCTGATGTTCCAGTTTGAGGTCCGTGCAGCTGGAGATCTGGTGGGGAGCTGATGTTCCAGTTTGAGGGCCCTGCAGCTGGAGACCCATGGGGATCTGATGTTCCAGTTTGAGGGTGGTGCTGCTGGCGACCCAGGCGGGAGCTGATGTTCTAGTTTTAGGGCCCTGCAGCTGGAGACCCGGGGAGGAGCTGACGTTCCCATTCGAGGGCTGTGCAGGTGGAGACCTGGGGAGGAGCTGATGTTGTTCTAATTTGAGTGTGGTGCAGCTGGAGATCCAGGGATGAGATGGCCCTGCAGTTCAAATATGAGGGTCCCGGAGCTGGACTCTACGTGAGGAACCAATGCTGCCTCTGATGTCTTAGGTTGTGGAGCTGGAAACTCGTGGAGGAGCTGGTATTGGTGTTTCTAGTTGAGGGTTGTGGTATTTCCAGGGTTTCACAAAGGCCAGATTTTATTTCAGTTACTGAGAAGAGAAAGAAAATGTCTTCTGAAAGAGGTGAACTCAGTCATTACCAATAGAAAAAGTATCCACTGTATTTATCTCTTATACAAACAGAAAAATATAACATTTTCCCCCTTAGAATAATATATATATATATATAAAACTTAAGGTTCTATTGTATGTATCCGAACAACAAAATCTGGAAACCAGCATGAAACTCTATTATTCACATGTTAAAATGTTGAAACTATGACCAAAATATGAAAACTGCTGGAGCTATCAGAAAGACACAAGACAAAAAGCTTCTTGCATATGTATAAACTAAATGTGATAATCTCAAAAAACTGTTCAAAATTATAATTACTTTCCAGTTTAAAAACTTTAATCCTAAATTAAAAAAAAAAAATCTATACACAAACCACTGATTTGCCCAGAGCAAAGAAAGAAAGAAAGAAAGAAAGAAAGAAAGAAAGAGAAATCAGCGGTAAGGTAAGCAGGACCCAGAGGAGCTGATATTCACAGTTCTTACATGTACAACTCTTTCAGGAATTATCCATAAAGTACTTTATTTTACAACCTGCTTTACTTGTAAAACTAAAGGTGCACTTTTTTACATAAAAGTTTTATACAGTGTTAAAACCAGAACTGTGTGTAAAATACTGCATGTAAATGTTTCTAAATAGTCTTGTTCCAGTGGTTCATCGGTGACTTCTGTGGCTTCGTCATCATTATCCATGGATGATTCTGAAAGAATCTCTCCAGTTTTACTGGAATTGGATCCTACTAATTCTTCTGTTTCACGGCAGTCAGAAGAACCACTACTTTCAGGGCCTTCGTTTTCACTACCTTCAGAATGTAGTAAATCTTTCTCAGCTTGAGACACATCAGATTCCTCCATTTCATTATTTTCCTCAGAAGTCTCTTCATTCACAGTTGAGGCATCATCAGATTCTTTTTCTTGGTTTTTTCTTTCTGGGACCATTTCTCTTGATGTCATAAAAGACTCTAAAAATAAGCAAATGTTGTTGTACTTAAATTTTATATTCAAAATACCTCCACAGTTAAGTTTTGTGAATTCTGATGTTCTGTAGTTCAAATCACATCCCCTGAAATTCAGCAGCAACTGCATACAGGTGGGAGAAAAGCCCAGCGTCGACATTACAAGGAGTTCCATGATGTACAATTCTTTCACGAAAACAATGAATGCAAGAATTTGAGGATCTCCTTACTCCTCCCTTTTACAGATGGTCTCTCAATCCCTTCTTCTTCCTCTTCATCTTCATCTTCTTCTGAACGCGCTGCCGGGTACCACGGCTTTCTTTGTCTTTATCGTGAGATGAAGGTGATGCTTCTGTTTCTTCTACCATAACTGAAGAAATTTCGCTGCAAGTCTCTTGACTGGCTGTTTCTCCGACTTCGCCTTTTTGTCAAACGTGAGTCTTTTTACCTCATGCCCCTCAGCTTCCACAGCATCTTCATCTGGATGTTTATTTCTCAAAGGGCTCACTGAGGAAACTTCTGATTCAGATGTCGAAGAGTCACTGTGAGTTTTCTCTTCATTTTGCTGCAAATTTGCCTCTTTGCTGTCTGTGCTCTCAGGCCACCCATTTGTTGTCATGGGGGCTGACAGAGAAACCTTTGGTCGATTACGTGGCCTGGGTGTCCCAGGCCCATTTATATTAGACCTCTCAGTATAGCTTGGTGCATTTCCAGGAAACATCACACCATTCATTCGATTTAAACTATTGGAATTGTTTTTCTCTGAAGAAGGATAAACACAGCTAACAACCATCACGTTCTTTTCTACTCCTCTGAGAAATTTGTCTGTTCCTGTATAGTTTCTCCTTGGATCTGTTAACAATTCACATAGTCGCTGAATAGTAAAAGGGATACGGTTAAATCCAGTGACAGTTTTCAGTATTCTTCCCTTTGTTTCATCAAAGGGAATATATTCGACTTTAGGGTTGGGAGGACCTCTTGGCGCAGGAGCTGAAGTTCTGAAATCATCTATCACTTTCTCCAGTTTGAAAATAAAATAGCCTTTAAATTGGGACCACTGAATCTGTTTCTCCAGTCTTGGCTACATGACAAAGGAACTGATCCAGGACAGGACAGACTTTCTTTTTTGCCTCTTCTCAAAATCTTCCAGCGCCTCCTGGAGCCTGTCGACGTCCATGGCTTCCCAGAGTCCCTCACAGCCTCCGTCTCCCTCCGCGGGTCTCTTGGGGACCGGAACGCCTCCCCCCACCCCCCGACATCCTCCCACTCCCTCGCACACCCTCCAGCACGCAGGCCAAGTGGGGTGGGGGGGAACGAAGGGAGCCAGGGGAAGCGTGTGAGAGAGTGAGACCGACAGAGTGAGCACCTCCCCAAGCCGCTACCACCAGCCCTCCAACATGGCGCCTGGCACATCACCCTAAAAAGTCATTTCTTGGAGAAGCGATGGATGACAGAGATTAATCTGAGAGTTACTATTAATGGAGAAACTTAGAACTTACCATTTTTCCTGTGAGGTTTCGGTGCTGATACTTCTATTCTGTGAGTTCTGGCAATTGTGTCCGTTCACCCAGCCTGGTGATGCAGCAGGTGTCACAGAAGGACCCTGTCCCAGCTGGTCCTGCTCCACTGCTAGGATGGTGTGGCCTCTGATCTGTGACCGTGTCTTGAGGGGAGACCAGGCCCTTGATCACAAGCGTATCCATGGTGAGGTTCCGTGGATGGAAGCTCATGGATGTTCCTTCCTGATGTTCATCTGCCACCATGCTATTGAATGCATCTTGTTTATAACTGTCTTCTAAATATTGAATAGAAATAAAGCATTTGTACAGTATGGTTAAGGTATAAAGAATATTGACACATTGGACACAGAGGACCTCCACCAAGTTTAGGGAGTAGAATCTGAAGAGACATAGCTTTGGATGCTCCCTGGAGGCCCTGCCTGAGTCCCAGTCCCTTCCCTTCTCCTACGGAGGGAATCATTTCCTGCTTTAGTCTTTATTATTTGCACACTTTCCTTCATAGTATGTTTCTTTCACCGTGTGTGTACATCCCTAAAAGATATGCCATTTAGTTTTTGAACTTTCTGTTTTCTTTTTGAGGCAGGGTCTTGCTCTGTTGCCTCGGCTGTAGTTTTGAACTTTGACGTGAGGGAATTCTCCTGCGTGGCTGCTCCTGCACTGCATGGCTCTGAGCACCTGCTCTGTGTCTATTTTTGTCCTCCATTCTCTCCCTGAGACCCACCCACACTGACATGGCTCATTTTCATTGCTGCATGGTCTCCCGTCGTCTGAGGGGAGCATGGGAAATGTCTTCATCTTCCCGTGGATGAGTGTTTGGCCAGGTTGGGGCCCTTAGGACTGTGTTTTGTTGGGAACGTTCTTGGGCATTTCTTTTGTACACAGCGCAAGTTTCTTCTGGTCAGTAGCTTTCAAATTTTAAAATTTCATCCCAGGTAAAAATGTAATTTTCCTCATAACCCACAACACACACTCTTTCATATACAAGCATAGCAGAAATATACTTCACAAGCGTTAGCAGTGCCTGTTGTTCCTGCTTCTCTCCATTCTCCCCAACGCTGGCATGGATTGGGTTGTGGGATTTTTGCCCGTCTGGTGGTTGTCACGTGATATCTCCCCCTGTTAGGCTGAGCCCCTCTTCATGTTTTCATTAGCCATTCCTCCACATTTCCTCTTCTGTGGAGGGCCGGTTCAGCTCTTTTGCCCAGTTTCTGTTAAGTTGTTTGAATTTTTGCACTTTTCCTTTATTATTCCTATTACTATGTTTTTGAGACAGAATATCACTCTGTCACCCAGGCTGGATGTGATCTCAGCTCACTGCAACCTCCATCTTCTGGGTTCAAATGATTCTCCTGCCTCAGCCTCCCAAGTGGCTGGGATTACAGGCACACACCACCATGCCCAGCTAATTTTTATATGTTTACTACAGATGGGTTTTCACTATGTTGTCCAGGCTGGTCTGAAACTCCTGACCTCAGGTGATTCTCCCACCTCAGCCTCCCAAAGTGCTGGGATTATGTGGGTGGCAAGCCACCCAGGCACCGAGGCAAGAGACAGAGGACACGAGCTGTTCCAGTATAATAAAATATAAAACAAGAATAGTTATGCCAGATATAGATCTTAGATATGATTATATATGAATATCATTAATCATTAGTTTGTAGCAATTGCTTTTTATTCCAATATTATGATAATCCTCGCTCTATAATCATAGTGTAGGAAAAACCAGGCCATACAGAGATAGGAGCTGAGGGGACATAGTGAGGTGTGACCAGAAGACAAGAGTGCGAGCCTTCTGTTATGCCCGGACCGGGCCACCAGAGGGCTCCTTGGTCTAGCGGTGATGCCAGCGTCTGGGAAGATGCCTGTTACCAGGCGGATCGTGGTCCAGCAGTAGCAAAAGGTGTCAAGGAACAACACCCGATACTTAGCAGACCAGGAAAGGGCGGGGGGGGGGGGGGTCTCCCTTTCCCCGGGGGAGTTTAGAGAAGACTCTGCTCCTCCACCTCTTGTGGAGGGCCTGACATCAGTCAGGCTCGCCTGCAGTTATCCGGAGGCCTAACCGTCTCCCTGTGATGCTGTGCTTCAGTGGTCACGCTCCTAGTCCGCCTTCATGTTTCATCCTGTACACCTGGCTCTGCCTTCTAGATAGCAGTAGTAAATTAGTAAAAATACTAATAGTCCCTGATATGCGGAAATAATGGCATAAGCTGTCTTTCTCTCTGTCTCCTCTCCCTCTCTGCCTCGGCTGCCAGGCAGGGAAGGGCCCCCTGTCCAGTGGACACGTGACCCACGTGACCTTACCTATCATTGGAGGTGACTCACATTCTTTACCCTGCCCCTTCTGCCTTGTATCCAATAAATAACAGCGCAGCCAGACATTCGGGGCACTACTGTTCTCCGCGCATTGGTG